>NC_000006.12:10060000-10211515 GCF_000001405.40 Homo sapiens | reverse complement strand
TGGAGACGCCAAAGGTGTAACTTTAAAGGGCAAAGACCTCAGGACAAAGCAACTTGAAGAAGCCAGGAACTAAAGACGGGACATTTGGTTCAAAACTTGAAGTGGCTCCCCGCCCCCCGCCCCGAGATTTCATGACAGGTCAGTTTGTGTTTTGATTCCTCAGTTTCTCCATGCTTCTTCCTCTCATTGTCATGTCCTTCCAGAAATATCCTGAATTCTCAAAGCTAAGTGATAGTGAATGTATGTTAGAAAGCAGTCCCTGCCAAAATAAAAGGTTATTTATAACAACAAAAAGTCACTTAGTTAATCAGTATCTAAAGAAGTGGCCACTTGCCTGGACATTTTATTATAAATGAAGGTACTTTCCTTGAATGTTGACCCTCTGCCTTGCCTCGTAGTGGGCTACCTCATCTATGTTACCTTTGTTTTTTTTTTTGAGACGGAGTCTTGCTCTGTCGCCCAGGCTGGAGTGCAGTGGCATAATCTCAACTCACTGCAAGCTCCGCATCCTGGGTTCTTGCCATTCTCCTGCCTCAGCTTCCCAAGTAGCTAGGACTACAGGCACCCACCACCACGCCCGGCTAATTTTTTGTATTTTTTAGTAGAGATGGGGTTTCACCATGTTAGCCAGGATGGTCTCAATCTCCTGACCTCGTGATCCACCTGCCTTGGCCTCCCAAAGTGCTGGGATTACAGGCGTGAGCCACCGCACCCGGCCATTACCTCTTTTCTAGCTATTGTTCACTAAACTGTACGAGCAAACTTGATCTCTTCTTAGGCATTTTCTATGATAATGACAACACATTCCACAAAAATGGTCTAAAAAATATATTTTTTTTGTCTTCAAATATTCCTCCTGACACACTCATGAATCTCTTTGACAGCACTATTGTGGGATAACGTTGACACTCAGACCATAAGAAATGAATGGAAGCTGACAACATGCTTTAACCTAAATTGTAAAGACTGTTGTCTGGCTATTCAAGTCAAAAACAGAGTTTACATAACCACCTAGCATGGTTTCTGGTTATGTAAAATGTGACTGGGTATCTGAATCCTGGATCAAAAGCTTCCTCCACATGAATGGTTCAGTTAGGAGGGGGAAGAAAACCCAAGATTGAACTTTGCCAATGAAAGCATGGATCATTTCACATTTTGCTTTGTGAAAGAGCAGAAAGTAAAGACAAATGAAGAATATGCATGGGGCACATCAGAACACCAGGTCAGTGGAAAAAATAACCCTGGAAAATGTGGGGGAGAGAAGCAAATGACTCAAAGGAAAGTCACGAGGACCTGGCAAGCTTTCAAGAGAAGTTGAATAACAGGGGAAGAGAGATGCTTGATTTGGGGACAAACAACTCAAAAAAGCTGTAAGTTTAGTTCCTCAAGGGTTTGCTGAGCATTTTCTAGAAGCTATGCATCTTGTAGGCCCGAAGTACTGGGCATGGGGGACATACAAAGAAATACATGTTTTCATCCTTGACTTCACAGAGCTCCTGCAGGTTTGAAGCACAAAGCCTTCACGGGGGATAAATAAACATAAGAGGGGGGTCCGATTGAAAACTATAAATGCCCAACATGCAGGGCAGTGAAAACCTATACTATGGGCTATTAGGGATAGACAAGATAGACGTTCACCTGGAATCTGACATGGGCATTAAAATAACGGGGACAATTTGGGCAGATAAAAGACACAGAGTGTCCCAGGAAGGGGTGAGCCTAGGCATAGGTTTAAAGATGGGGATGAGCTTAGCAAGTGTGGGTGCACGGCCAGGAGACCTGCCCGGCAGGGATGGAGGATGTGCCTTGTGGCCAGACTGAAGATTGTGCAGAGTGATAGAATGAAGGGTTTGGCCATGAAACAATTGGCAGCAGAAACTAAAAAGTCACAGTTGTAGTGACACTTGATGCACCATAAGGGTACAATGTCAAATGACGAAAACTGAGCTGAAAAGTGGCATAAAAACAGGTGCTTGTAGTTTTAAGAATCAGTGGGCACCGAATGCATCATGTGATCAACAGCAAATCATTAACTTATTTGGGCCTCAATATTCTCACCTGTAAAATGGGGCTGGTAACTTATATCATAGGGTTGTTCAATTAATAAAACTGGGTTAATATATAAATGTGCTTATAAAATGTAATGCAAATATAAATAATTAGGGCAGGGCTGTGGTGAAATGTAAAAGTGTGGGCTTTGAAGTCAGATAACCGTGGGCCAAAATTCTGGCTCCTCCACTTACTTTTTGTCCTTGGGCAAATTATTTAACCCCCTGAAACCTCAGATTTATCCATTTAAAATTGAGGGTAATATTATAATATCTGTTTGCAGAATGGTGGGTGATTAGAGGAAACATTTAGAAAGTGTCTAGCATAAAATGACCCCTTAGCAGAGGTAACTCTTGTTATAATTTAGCCCTTGGTAGAGGGAACCTCCTTATTAAGAAAGATTAGTCCCCTGGCTTTACATGAATGGAGGGAAATTGAACAGAGGTTGGATAAACTGTTTTAGATGGTGGAGTTTCAGTGGGGAGTGAGTCAGGTTAGTACGTGTCCCTTAAACAACTGGAGGAAGAGAGCTGAGGCCAGCTGGGGAGGTCAGAGCACAGATGACTCCAGGGTCTCTATGTTGAAGGAGAGTGGGATGGCAACTTAATTAGAAAAGGGAGTGAGAATTGGAGGACTTGTCTTGAAGTAGCTTTCATGTAGAAATCATGTTGACTTGACTTGGATGTATATTTATTTAGGGGGGGCGGCTTGGAAGGCTGACAAAGATGAAAATTCTAAATTCTCCAAGAGATACCCTTGGTCCTGACACCTTCCAGAGTGGAAATGTACACATGATACATTTCAGTTATTGGGAATATGCTGTTTACCAGTATCAAAGTACAGTTAACCCTTGAACAACACTAGTGTGAACTGTGAGAGTCCACTGGTGCGTGGGTTTTCTTCTACCTCTGCTACTCCTGAGACAGCAAGACCAACCCCTCCTCTGCCTGCTCCTCCTCAGCCTACTCAACGTGAAGATAACGAGGATGGAGATCTTTATGGTGATCAACTTCCACTTCCACTTCATGAATAGTAAATACATTTTCTCTTATGATTTTCTTATCCTTTTGTCCTTGAGTTTACTTTACTGTAAGAATACAGCATATAATACATACAATATATAAAATATGCGTTAATCACCTGTTTATGTTATTGGTAAAGCTTTTAGTCAACTGTAGTCATTAGTTGTTAGGTTTTGGGGGCGTTATGTGTGGATTTTCAACTCTGTTGGGGGATTTGTCCCTCTTGTCTCCCCATTGTTCAAGGCTCAACCATAATACGTGTATATGGTAACAATATCGTGGTATCAGTGGTAACAATGTAAATGGTATCTAAGAGCTTGAGATTCCTAAGATCTCAATTCAGCAGCCTTCTGCTCCTTTGCTTCCTTTCTTTTTTTTTTTTGAGACAGGTTCTTGCTCTGTCATCCAGGCTGGAGTGCAGTGGAGGTGCAGCCTTTAACTCCTGGGCTTAAGTGATCCTCCTGCTTCAGCCTCCCAAGTATCTGGGACCACAGATGTGCCTCACCATGCCCAGCTAATTTTTAAATTTTTTGTAGAGACAGAATCTCACTATGTTGCCCAGGCTGATCTCAAACTCCTAGCCTCAAGTGATCTGCCTGCCTCGGCCTTCCAAAATGTTGGGATTACAGGCGTGAGCCACTGCGCCCAGCCTGCTCTGTTTCTTTATTCCTTCTTCCCTGAGGTGATCTATTAAAATATTACTGGTTTCTGTTTTTTCCACTGGTAGTTTTTTCAGACTCCTGTTAGTTAAATGTTAGATCTCCTGAATTACTTTTCTAGTCTCTTATCTTATTTATCTTATCGTGTATATTCTGGGAGAGTTCCTCAACTTTATTTTAGAAACTTGACTTTTCTTTTTAATCTAAGCAATTATACTTTTAATTCCTCAAAATTTATTTCTTGTTCTCTGATTGTTCCTTTTTCATAGCTTCTTATCATCATTTTCTAGATGTAATAGTATCTTTGATCTCTCTTTATAAGAAATTGATTCTTTAAAAATGTCTCTTCTGCTTTTGGAATTTTCTGTTTCCTCTGGGTTAGTTATTTTGCTTAGTTATCTTGATGTTTTGTTGTTGTTGTTGCTGTGTTCCTTTTCTAGACCTGGTGGTCCTTTGTTATATGTCTTCACCTAAGAAAAAAGCTTTGGGTGGTTGGTTTGGGTTTCATCCATTGTGTGGATGTGCAATGGCTTCTCATTGGGAAGCTGGCATACTTCTTTTATGGGAAGGTCTTATTCAGGTATTGTATTAGTCTGTTCTCATACAACTATGAAGAAATACCTGAGACTGGGTAATCTATAAAGAAAAGACGTTTAATGGACTCACAGTTCCACATTGGCTGAGGAGGCCTCACAATCATTGTGGATGGTGAAGAAGGAGCAAAGGCCCATCTTACATGGCGGCAGGCAAGAAAGCGTGTACAGAACTGCCCTTTATAAAACCATCAGATCTCGTGAGACTTATTCAATATCACGCAAACAGCACAGGAGAAACCTGCCCCCATGAGTCAGTTACCTCCCACCGGGTCCCTCCCATGACATGTGGGGATTATGGGAGCTACAGTTCAAAATGAGATTTGGGTGGGGACACAGCCAAACCATATCAGGGATGTCAGAGTCAATCCCCCTAGTAAAGCATTAGCTTTCCTCATATAATTTGTTCACTGGCTTTGCAGAAGTGTTGATATTTTACTCCAAAGAAAACTTTCTCTCTGAAAACAAGGGTGGGAAGAGGAGGGTGAGGATGAGGATTTGGGCTGGTGCACGTGCACAATTTAGAGATATCCCATTAAGCCCCCACCTCTCACTCCCACCTGGGTAAAATCTGCTGACTCTGGACCTAGAGCCCTCTTTAGGGCTTGAGGTTCTGCTGGGCAGACTGTATCCTAATCCTTTTCTCCTCCATTAAATGTAGTGGCTTCCTAAACCTCTTTCTTCTGTCTACCCATCCCTATCCGTGTTCCGTGTTACAGAAATGTGTTGAAATTGGTTGAACTCTCTGTATTGGTGACTGTCCTATTCTCTTCACTTTTATGACAGATTCCTTTCTGTACCTCTATACTTTTATTCAGGGGTCTTTGGGAGGAGCCCAAGGCAGATACATTTGCATGGTCTGCATTTGGAATGACAGCCACTGCAGGAGATAGTTGACATCTATTATTAGTTGACATCTAATAGTTGACACACCAAGAAGCCTTGCCAAGAAGGTGCACCATTTTTATTTCACAAATGAAGACACAAAAGGATCAGCATGATTAAGTAACTGATCCCAACCTTACATAGCTAACAAATGGCTAGGCTGATATTCAAACTGGTTACGACACTTTAAAATACTCTTCTCTCTCAAAGGGCAGATTTGTGGTGACCACTTCCTCAAAATGTGTAAGTAAAAGTTACCGTTTCATTGCAATCATTGAAAGACAGGGTGAGCTTTGAGAGAGAGCACAGATCGGGGGCTGTGTGAGTGGCTGTGGCTCCTGCATGCTTCTTTTCGAGCAAAGACCTAAATTCTAGTCCTCTGGACTAGACATTCTGCTAAAGCACAGCCTTTGGCACATTTTTAGCTTTGTTTCTTTATCTAGAAAGCAAGAAGTTTTGATAATCTAGTTGTTAATGTTTCTTTGACATGGAACATTCTACAATTCTCTTGAGTGTTGCTGCAGGTTTTGAGAATTTCCTAATGGTTGGTTTCCAAGAGAAGCAGAGTAATCTCCCTTTCTTCTATGCAAAAACCAAAATAGAGCAGAGAGAAAGGTATAACAATGAAGATAAAGCTCCTTTCCTTGGCAGTCAAAGGCATTTGTGAAGTAGCTACAGGGGCAAGGTGCTCTATGCCTTAGGCTCCCACCCCTTCTTGGATAGGGGCAGTGCTGGATTTCCCATGGAGCTAATGAAACTTAAGCATGAGGGCTTCTCTCTCATATGGGACACTTCCAATATTTTATTTTAAATTCTGTATTCTGAAAGAGGGACCCCAAATGGTATAAACCTCAGGCCGTACAAAGCCAGGATCCTCCCACAGTTGGCAGGAGGGTGGTGTGTCAGCGATGGAGAGAGAGTATCAGCTTCCTTTTGGTGTGGAGTCTGAGAAAGCACAGCACAAAAGGAAATGGGAAACTGACAATCATCTGCTGAGTGTGATGCCAAGTCAAATAATTCAGACACAGCATCCAGTTCAGTCTTGATTTATCTCCGTGGCCCAATGTTCTATGACTTGGGCTAACTTCACTTCCATTTCTACAGGCTAGTTTGTGCTGAAGCCAGGAGGCTGTCCACACCAGGGGAGAACTGGGAGGTGCTCCTAAGGAGCTTCTTTCTTCTTTATTTTTGGGAAACATGCTTAAAGCTGAGGACCAGGCAGAATAGTTTAAGTTGGAAATGTAAAGGGGCAATTCTCTGCATTTAGTTGATCCTGATCCTGTGGGAGTAGCTTAGCTGAAATGTGGTAGAACATTTTCTCTTGGTAGATTACAAGTTTCAAAAATACCTTCCATGCATCAGAATTTTCTAAATGCATCCCTGCTTACAGTGAGGCTGAGGGAACAAATTTCACTCAGGAAATTCCAGTCATTTGAAAAAGAAACTCTTAGGGGACTTGCTAGAAAATTGGAAAAGGGGAAAGGTAGATCAATGTATATATTAGAGTCTGCAAGATTATCAGGTTCCAGGCCCATGATGTAGTGTGATAACAACCAAGGAAAATATGGAAGTAAGGGCAGTAGGTTTGGTATTAAGCCATGCTGAGCAAAAGTTGTTCTTCTCAACATTTCCTTAGGTAAACCACCCATGCTAAAGTCAAGTATTAAGATTTTAGCACGATGGTCCAGGGGTATTTTTACGTAGTTCTTGAGGCTTTAATAGTTGTGCAAGTCATTCACCACCATGTGAGAGTCTCTGGCATTGCCAATATCTTGGTTAGAAATCTTTTGGTTATAGGTGACAGAAAAATGAACCCAAATCAGCATATGCATACACGTAATTGGAGAGTGCAGGGCAGCACTAAGATGGATTTAGCAGCTCAAACAATGTCATTAGGATGGGATTCTCTCTTCCTCATCTCATGGTTTTTTCCATGTGTGGGTGTTGGTAGTGGCTGGATGGCTCGCAGCTCCAGCTCAAGTTTATTCACTGAGGTACCAGGTTTAGGAGATGCCACTGAAACAATCATACCGGAGGGTATATCAGTTAGGATTCTGCATGATGAAAGTCATAGAAAACCTAAGTCAAACTAGACTTGGCAGAAACAGTGTGTTGGCTCACATAACTGGAAGCCTATGGAAGCTCTGATTTGGGGTAGAGCCTGCTTTAAACCTCTAACAATATCCACGAGATTTCTGTCTTGTCTGCGCTTTCTGTAGGTGCCAGCTGCCTTCACTCAGTGACTCCTTTCATAGGCCAAGAAGGCTGAAGCAACCTACACCCCTCTGCCTCTTGTCCTCCCACTACCAAGTCCAAAAGAAGAGTGGTAACTTTTCTTTGGCTGGGTTTATGTTATCCTTGAAGAAATCATCTTGCCAGGCAGATGGCCAATCTGGACTAAAGTAAGACTATCATGGTCTATTGGTTGGAACTGGGACAACACCATCCAAACTTCTGAACTGAAAACTCGGCTCTGTAACCAGAAGGAACAGGTGTGGATAGTGGGCAGTAAACCACAAATGCCTGCTATTAAACAAATACCCATGACAAGAGTTGTGTTTTGTTAGTGATCAGAACATTAGCAGAGGAAAAAAGGCAAAGAAAAGGTATATTTATCATGATTCTGCAGAGAAACAGAACAAATAGGATATGCTCTATAGATCTATCTATCTATCTATCTATCTATCTATCTATCTATCTATCCATCACATGAGGTTTACAAGGAATTGGCTCATGCAATTATGGAGACTGAGAAGTCCCACGATCTGCTGTCTGCAATCTGGGGATGCAGAAAACCTGGCGGTATTAATATAATTCCAGTCCAAGTCCAAAGGCCTGAGAACCAGGAGTGCTGATGGTGTAAGTCCCAGACCAAGGGCAGCAAAAGACCAATGTCCTAGCTGAAGCAGTCTAGCAGAGAGAGAGAATTCCTCCTTTGTTTGTCTCTTTGTTCTGTTCAGGCCCTGATGGGTTGAATGAAATCCACCCACAATGGGAAGGACAATCTACTTTACTCAGTCCACCAATTCAAGTGCTAACCTCTCCCAGAAACACCCAAACAGACACATCCAGAATAATGTTTAACCAGACTCTGGGCATCCCGTGGTCTAGTTACGCTAACACATGAAATTAATCATCCCAGAATGTGTCCTGTCAGACCCCTATTAGCTTCAATAGTGATGGCACCAGGTTGAAGAGGCCAAAGAAGAGACCCAAAGCCAACAAACGAGACATGGAGTTTGATTAGCAGGAAACTTACAAACAAGGTGGTCCAGTGGCAGCTGGCTAGACAGGAGAACCACCTTACCTACAGTCCAGTGGTGGTGGGCTAGACAGAACCGCCTTACCTACAGTCCAGTGGTGGCAGACTATACAGGAGAACTGCCCTACCTACAGTCCAGTGGTGGTGACTGGACAGGAGAACCGCCCTACCTACAGTCCAGTGGTGGTGACTGTACAGGAGAACTGCCTTGTCTACAGTCTAGTGGTGGTGACTGTACAGGAGAACTGCCTTGTCTACAGTCTAGTGGTGGTGACTGTATAGGAGAACCACCTTACCTACAGTCCAGTGATGGTGACTGTACAGGAGAACCACTTTACCTACAGTCCAGTGATGGTGACTGTACAGGAGAACCACTTTACCTACAGTCCATTGGTGGTAACTGTAAGGAGAACCACCTTACCTACAGTCCAGTTGTGGTGACTGCACAGGAGAACCGCCTTACCTACAGTCCAGTGGTGTTGACTGTACAGGAGAACCGCCTTACCTACAGTCCAGTGGTGTTGACTGTACAGGAGAACCACCTTACCTACAGTCCAGTAGCAGCAGCCTAGGCAGCACCATAACTGGTTGCAAAGAGCATGTGGTTTATGCAGCATTTTTCACTCAGCACCCTCCCTCTAACAACCACCTGGCAACCTTCATTTAACCCAAAACAAAGGGCTTCCATCCCCTGTACACCCATGTTTTATGGGATGGGATGGCCCTGGGGCTTAGATGTTCCTCATAGATAAGGAATGAAACTGTGTTGGCCACTCCCGAATTCCTTAGCTTGGAACTCTGAACACACATTCAACTGCATTGGCCATGCAGGGTCATTATTAGGATATGCTTAAGTTAACTTACCGCTGTCAGGTGTGTCTACCATACAGAAAGGTGAGAGAAAAAGAAAGAAAATGCGCATTTATGAAGTGCCTACTGTATCACCTAAGAATGTCAGGCATTCTTAGATCCTCCCAACGACTTCAGTTACAGATGGAATAAAGTATCCTGTCCAAAAACACGTAGCCAGAGGGATGGAGGCAGCTTTCAAATGCAGGATTGCCTCCTTCAAAGCCCATCAGTGAAGCTCTGCTGAAGTAAGAACACAAAAGCTGGATTTGAATTACACAATGACAGCTGTGTCATATGCATAGCTATATCACCACCCCAGTGGTTCTCAAAATGTGCCTTTCAGAGCGTCGGCAAGGTCCTTCTTTTTTCAGCTGTATTTGTATGAAGCCAAGTTTTCTTCAGCTATTTCAGCCAAAACAACACATCGCAACAGATTAAATGCAGAGGCAGACAGGAAAATCCAGCTGTCTTCTATTAAGCAAGGTATTTTATAAAGATATCATATAAGATTTGCAAACAATGTAAAACAATGACACTGCAAATTTTCTTTGGTTTTGGAAAATAGTTATTTTTAAAAATAAAATATATGTCATTTGTGTTAATACGTAATGTATTCGCTATAGTCATTTTGGGTTATTTAATGGATGAAACAGTTTTAAAATTTCTCTTTTAATTTCTAATATGATAAATATCAATAGGTATAATTTCCATAAACAAAAGCTCTTGGGGTCCTCTATACATGTTAAAGAGATGCTGAGACCTGGGCCGGGTGCAGTGGCTCATGACTGTAATCCCAGCACTTTGGGAGGCCAAAGTGGGTGGATCACAAGGTCAGGAGTTCGAGACCATCCTGCCAAACACGGTGAAACCCTGTCTCTACTAAAAATACAAAAAAATTAGCCGGGCATGGTGGCAGACGCCTGTAGTCCCAGCTACTTGGGAGGCTGAGGCAGGAGAATGGCGTGAACCCAGGAGGCGGAGCTTGCAGTGAGCCAAGATCGCACCACTGCACTCCAGCCTGGGTGACAGAGCCAGACTCCATCTCAAAAAAAATAAAATAAAAATAAAAAGAGATGCTGAGGACTGCTGCACATAAAGGTGGCAGGTCTCAAAAAATAATCCTCAGGTAGAAGTTTTCAGGTATCTGAACTTAACATTGCATTCTCTTGCATGGACTTTGCTTTTCAAACAGTTGGACTTTTGTCTTTTAAAAATGACTGAGTCTATTTTCCAAGGTAAAAATAGCCTGGAAAACCAGGGCATGAATTTTGTTTTAAATTTAATTTTAAGTTCAGGGGTACATGTGCAGGTTTCTTACATAGGTAAACTTGTATGGTAGGGGTTTGTTGCACAGATTATTTCATTACCTGGGTATTAAGCTGAGTACCCATTAGCTATTGTTTCCGATCCTCTCCCTCCTGCTACCCTCCACTCTCCACCCTCTGATAGGCTCCAGGGTGGTGTTCTCCTCTGCGTGTCCATGTGTTCTCATCATTCAGTTCCCACCTATAAGTGAGAACATGTGGTATTTGGTTTTCTGTTCCTGTATTTGTTTGCTAAGGGTAACGGCCTCCAGCTCCATCCATGTTCCTGCAAAGGACATGATCTCGTCCTTTTTTATGGCTGCATAGTATTCCATGGTGTATATGTACCACATTTTCTTTATCCAGTCTACCATTGAAGGGCATTTAGGTTAAAAGCAAATTAGATGCCCGAGCATGAATTCTTGATAGCTCTTTATCATCCACTGTGTTGAAATCACATTCCCACCCAAGCTTACTTTAAAAATAAGAGGCAGAATGCTTGATTAACACTTTGGGAATGGAGTCGCTGAGACATGGAGTCAGCAGAGTGGGTCAGTAACATCGTGTGCCCCAGTGGAATAGCATGATCTTAGCAGGAAGTGTTACGTGGAGTGCACTTTTTCAGTGAAAAAGGCCAAGGAAGAATTAATGTCCATAATGAAACTAATGACTATCATGCAGCATGTTTTCAATTTTTATTTAATTTTTCATCTCACTTTGTTTTACTCAGCCTTTGCCAGAGGGGTTAAAAGAGAGAAAGCAAGCATGAAGAAAGAATATGAAAGTGAAGACCAGGAAATCCATAAGTTAGATAATAGTTTCTTTTCTTTTTTCTTTTCTTTTCTTTTTTTTTTTTTTTTGACAGAGTTTTGCACTGTTGCCCAGGCTAGAGTGCAATGGCACCATCTCGGCTCATCTCAACCTCCACCTCCCGGGTTCAAGCGATTCTCCTGCCTTAGCCTCCTGAGTAGTTGGGATTACAGGTGCCCACCACCTGTATTTTTAGTAGAGATGGGGTTTTGCCACGTTGGCCAGGCTGATCTTGAACTCCTGACCTCAGGTGATCCGCCCGCCTCGGCCTCCCAAAGTGCTGGGATTACAGGCATGAGCCACCGCACCCAGCCTAGTTTCTTGAATAATCAAGAATTGTGGACATTTCTAGATCTAGAAGACTGGAGGACACTTTACTGTTTTATGAAAGCTCTGTCTAATGGTAGAGGCTCTTTTAAGATTTTTTAACAATTGGGAGTATTATTTTCCAGCTTAGTAATTTAAAATTATTAAGACAAGTTTAGCCTTCAAAGCAAATTCCAGATTGTCTGATTTGTCATGCAAAGTGCTGGATGTTTTATCATATAAGAAACAGAACTGGCCGGGCGCGGTGGCTCACGCCTGTAATCCCAGCACTTTGGGAGGCCGAGGCGGGTGGATCATGAGGTCAGGAGATCGAGACCATCCTGGCTAACAAGGTGAAACCCCGTCTCTACTAAAAATACAAAAAATTAGCCAGGCGCGGTGGCAGGCGCCTGTAGTCCCAGCTACTCGGGAGGCTGAGGCAGGAGAATGGCGTGAACCCGGGAAGCGGAGCTTGCAGTGAGCGGAGATTGCGCCACTGCAGTCCGCAGTCCGGCCTGGGCGACAGAGTGAGACTCCGTCTCAAAAAGAAAAGAAAAAAAAAAAAAAAAAAAAGAAACAGAACTATTTATTGGTTTTTGGACTAAGTTAAGCCCATTTCACATTTTTGTGAAAAGGCAAAAGTTCATTTTATTTTAAGTTTGCCTCTGTGGCAAATCACATGTACAAGTTTTTCTGAACAAAAAGTCCAAATTTAGGAACTTAGAAAGCAGAGGCTCACTGGATTTTGCTGCTAAGGAAGCTTAAATAGATACGGCTATGAGCTGATCTCTAGGCCCTGGAGATCTTGACAGCCAGGTTGTTCCAACTGAAATCAAAGCATAGTGGTTGGGGCTTTTAGATAGAGTAGGATAGAGTAGCCTGAGGGATTTGGGAAAGAACTGACTGAATCCTGGAGGAAGTAGAGGGACTTGAAAGCTGCAAAAGAACACACAGTGTGATAGAAATGGGGTGTATTTTAGGGACAATTTGGACTCAGTGGAAAGAAGTCGAGGGCAATAGCTAACTATATTGCATCTCCAAAATTGTTCTTACAATTTAGTAGCTATTTGGAATTTAATTTAATTTTACTTTTTATTGAATATCACTGTTTTTAAGCTCTCTGTGAGGTATACTGTGGGAAACAAAATATAAATGCTATGGTCCTAGCCTTTAAGAAATCTACAATCCAGAAAAAAACCCAAGAAACATCTCCAAATGTTTACCATCTAGGATAGTGTGATAATACTAAATTAAAGGCACCATGTACTTTGGGATTGCATAAAAAGGAGAGGTTTATATCCATTCGGAGATTTGGGAAAGTTCTCATAGTGTAGGTAATATTTAAATTGGATTTTATTAAGGATGAAGTTTCAAATGGAGAAAGTGGGTGGAAGGGCATTTCAAATGAATGATTGATTAAACAGTGTCAGTGGGTATAGTGTTTGGGGCACAGTTTGGACAATCGTAGGGTGCCTGACCTAACCCTGGCCTCAGTTAAGGATGACTAGCCCACTCACGATAATATGGATGGACCAAGGCAGACATGTGGCCCCTACTGTCCAGGCTGGTTGGACCAGAGAGGAGCAGCTGATCCAAAAGCAGCCAACCTATGGCTGGCCTGGGTCCTGACCTGGAAAGCTTTGCACAAATAGGGAAGAACTGGGTTGGCTGGAGTCTCATTCCTAAAAAATTGCATCCTGAAATGAAGAAAATCGGCAGTTAGGTTTGGAAAGTGAAGCTGAGAAGATGTGTGCACCAGGAGAAATGAGGTAGAGAAGGACATTATGAATAAGAGATATCATGAAGTTGAAATTATTACAAATCGGACACTACATATTAGGAAAAAGTGTATATAATAGACAGTGGGGAAGCCAGAGGGTAACTGTTATTATGTCTGCTGGTCTGAGTAAATCCAAAGAGACCCCAACTAAGCTGTCTTATATGGCTGGAACAGAGGAACAATGATGGGTGTGTAGAGTGGTGGAAATGTAGGTTGGTGCCAGTTTGTGGAGGTCAAGGCATTCTATGCACATCTCGAGTGCTTTTGTCTGTTTCTCAGCCAGGAATTTTTAATTAAGAGATGCATACGGCCAGGCATGGTGGTTCATGTCTGTAAACCCAGCACTTTGGGAGGCCAAGGCGGATGAATCACTTGAAGTCGGGAGTTAGAGACCAGCCTGACCAACATGGAGAAACGATGTCTCTACTAAAAAAAATAAAAAAATACAAAATTCATCTAGGCATAGTGGTGCATGCCTGTAATCCCAGCTACTCGGGAGGCTGAGGCAGAAGAATTGCTTGAACCTGGGAGGCAGAGGTTGCGGTTAGCAGAGATCACACCATTGCGCTCCAGCCTGGGCAACAAGAGCAAAACTCCCCCTCACAAAAAAAAAAAAAAAAAAAAAAAAGAAAAAAAGAAAAAAGGATGCATAAGACAGCTCCATTCTCAAGGAATTTATAATACAGAATCAGGTGGAGAAAATATAGCCACACAAATAGCTATCATTGAAGACTGACAGATAAAATACTAAGCCACCAAAGAAGTATGGATCCTGTGGTGGAGGAGAGGGGTTGTCTAGGAAGACTTCACAGAGGAGATGGCAATGCTAAGGACTTTAAACATTATTCTGATTCCATGAAAAAGTTTTGAGCAGGAAAATCATGAGTATATAAATGTTAGAGAAAGGTGACTCTGGCCTAAGGATAATTGGATGAAAGGGAGGCTGTAATAAAGGAGACTGGTTTCAATGGTTGGGAGGATAATTCAGTAGGAGGGAGACATAGCTGTTTCATCTCACGGTTGTGAGAACCCAACCCTGGCCTGTTCTAATGGAAAGCATCTGGCTTATTGAGATGTTTTCGGCTCTGGGCTCAAATAACTAAAGGAAAACTCAGTAGACCAAGAATGCAAAACAGCAGAATTGGCCTTAGTGAAACAGTATGAGCTGTTAACTATGTAACGTTTTTAGAAGCTGTGTGGATGCTGGAAAAACTTCCTGCCTGTAACTATCAGCTTCATTAATTTGCCGTAGGTGCCTAAAATCCCCTCACTGGGGATCTCTTCCTTTGTTGTTAAGCCTTGTTCTCTTCTGGGAGTGGTGGTGATGTTGAGGGAGGGGTGGAGTAGGAGGGATGTTTATTCTGAAGAGGTTAAATTAGTATAGTGCTCTATTTGTCAAGACTCTTGGTTGCAAGTGACAGAAAACCCAGCTCAAAGCAGCTTAATCAGAAACCTGGATCATTGGAACCAGGTACTGGAGCGATGTCAAGAGGACACATCTCCCCATCTCTGGAATCTGTTTTTCCCTCTGCTCACTTCATTTGGGCAGTCTTGTCCCCAGATGGTGGCAAGACGGTTCTGTCAGCAGCACCAGTAGGAGAGCAGTGTTTTTCCTTGTGGCCTTTGGAGAAGTTCCGGAGGGAACTGCTTACTTGGTTGACTTTGTTTATATGCCCTTTCCTCACCTGTCACTGTGGCCAACGGATGGAACACGTGGCTTGGGTGCCCAGTCATGGGTCCACCCTGGATACTGAAGGTGGAGTCAGTTCCACCTCAACCGCAGGCAGAGAGTGAGGAAGGGATAGTTCTCCAGAGAAAGCAGGCTACTACCAGGAAAAAGGAGAAGGTTTATAGAGCAGGCAAAGAACAGATTCTACTGCAGCTAAGTTTATGGGCAAATGTGCCTATTGGATTGCCCTTCTAGGATAGTGAAAGCTAAAGGCCCGGAAAGTAGTGGGAAGCTGCTAAGAAGTGTGTGGGACAGAGGGGAGCTGGAGTCCCAGTAAGGAGAGGTTGGAGCTGCCAAAGACACTGTCACAATTTTGCCTCTGGCAGGTCAAAGCCTAGGTGGGTCCCTGAGAGTTACTATTACCATTATGGGAAAAGAACACCTTTAAGAGTCCACAGGTAGAATTAAAAATGACTAATCAAATGGAGAACTCTTACAGAGTGTATCAACTGCTCAATGTTCTGAACTGAAATGTTTTTCTTGATTCTCTTGGGTTTTGGTATCTGTTATATGTATGACTTGCGTTTTTCTTGCTGCAGGTGTGATTTTATATTTAAAAGGACAATAATTTTTACCTTTGAAGGTTATTTATTTATTGTTTGTTTTATTGTTTGTTGTGAAAATCAAGGGATTATTTTTTTCCTTAAGGCATTGTTTCCTTATTTCAACATCTTTTTTGTTTGTTTGTTTTTGGTTTGCCTGCAGTTTTGGTGAACAGAAGGTAACATGGCAGGATTTGGTGTGCTTTAATGTTGTTTATGCTTGCCAGTGATGAATGCCAGTCATACCAATTCCCTTGTAAAGGCAAGTCACTAGAGAACCCTCCCCCATCCCAAGCCCATGCCTGTGGCTGGAGTCCCCCGGGAGCTTACAGTGGCTGAGCGGGGAGCGGGGTGAACCTGCACACACCCTGTAGCGAGTCACATCCAGAAATCTTGCTACTCTTTTCTTAGCTGAGGAAAAATGTTCCATTAAGCTTTGGCTGCCAATTTTGTCCACAAACTTTGGAAACTGACAGTTGGGTTTTGAAGACTAATTATTTTCCCCTAAGCAGTGTGTCATCAGTTTCCCTGGCTGCCTGCAGGTGAACCTTGGCTTCTGGCCAGGCTTCTTCCTAGGGTAACTGCCTTCTATCTAAAGATCAGGCTCTTGGCTCTAGCTCCGCAATTCTCAGTTTCAGAGTTGCTCTCACTTCTGAAGCCAATAACCATTTATTGAGGTCAGGACTGTCTAAGACAGCAGCCAGAATCCACTTGTGGCTATTGAACATTTGAAATGTGCTTAGTCCAAGCTGTGGTGTGCTGCAAGTGTAAAATACACATCAGATTTTAAAGACTTAGTATGTTATAAATAGAATTGTGTCCCCCCACCCCACAAAATCCATATGCTGAAGCCCTAAACCCCAATGGGAGGTTTGAAGTAAGAAAGTAATTAAGCCTAAATGAGTTTATAAGGGTGGGATCCTCATAGGAATAGTGCCTTTATAAGAAAAGACACCAGAGAGCTCTCTCTCTGCTATGTGAGCACACTGTAAGAAGGCGGCTGTCTGGAAGTCAGGAAGAGAGCCCTCACAAGAACTTAACCCTAGTGGTACCTAGATCTGGGACTTCCAGCATCCAGACTTTGAGAGAATAAATTTCCGTTGTTGGTGCTACTCAATCTATGCCACTTTATTTTGGCAGGTGTAGGAAACTAATATATAGTATGAACAAATAATGTAAAATATCTAGTTAATATTTTTATATTGATGACATTAAAATAATAAAATACATTATTACAATTAATTTTACCCGTTTTATTTCACTTTTTAAAAAGTGGCTATGAGAAAATTTTAAATTATACATGTGTCTTCCATTACAGGGCACTGGTGACCTAGACCCATGAGTTATTATTAAATTGTCTTTACTTGTCCTATTAGATTATTATTCAATCTTTGTTCATGAGGGATCTCTAAACTTCTCTTTGGTTTATGTAATTTTCTGTTTCTTTTTTCTTTAAGAGCCAGAAGATTAAAATAAAACAAAATAAAAAAGAACAAACACATAGAAACCAAAAGAACACAAGCGACATAAACCCTGCTGTTTTGTGGTGTTAATATTTTTTGATTAAAAGGATTTATCTCCTTTTGATCTCTTTTCTGCCTTATTTCTTGCATATTGAAGCCAACCTTGGAACAAATTTTAACATTCATAGTATAAAATGACAAATCCTATGGGAAAAACAAACCTGAAGGGAGTTGGGGGAGTTTCTGCATTTTCAGCACTGGGTCTTTCATGGTGGATGGGATGGTTATGGTTATGAAATAAGGCAGAAGGTCTCCTGTTTTGTTTTCAATAGGCCAGGGCTGAGCTCAGCTTTGAGGAGGGTTACCTGTCGAAGCGTCTCTGGCTAGAAGCAGGGAAGGTTCTGCCAAGCTCTGTTGGATGCATCCTTAGCCACACCAAATGGGCCTCTGAATAGGCCCAGAAAACTGGGGACTCCTTGCTCATGTCACCTGTAGTGAGGGGAACATCTTGCTAACAGCAGAGCAAACTGCAAAATGTTCTGGGTTAATGCATATGCTTTGGGCAGGTCTACCTTTAGTAAGAAAGCTTCTGGTACGAAATTTTGCTACTGAAATTTATGGTCTTCACAAGTAGAGGCATTTCTGTTTGTTCTGAAGTCCAATTTGTTTAGTGTATTTCCTGCTTTTCTTGAATTTTATCATTGGCAACAAATATTGCCAGTTGTTTACCTTGACCTGACAGATTTATTTGGTTGACTTTTTGAAAAGTTTCTGCCAAGTAACCAAATCAGAATAACCATGATCTGCTGTCAGTCATTCTTCCAAGTACCAATGATGTTCTGTGAAGAATAGTGACTAATGCGACTTGCAACTCAAATGATCCCAGAAGTCAAGCATCATTCTTTGTCACGCAGCTGACGCACTTTATGTCTGACTCCCATTTCTTCAAATATAATACAGTATTTTTAAAATGTATATGCAAGTGTTCAGATTTAGTCAGTTCATTTTTACTGCCGCATCAGGGCCATCAGTAAGTAAAACACCCCCTCCCACCTCGCCCCAACCCACCAGTGGCTGGCAGTGAAGAATACAATGATTGCTAGTTGAATTTAGTACCATTTCTTGATTTGTGCTGAGTGGCCAGTAGTTTGACCCATTGCTTTTGCACCATGAGTGCAAATGTCAACACACTAAAAAACGAAAATAGTATCTTTATTTTATTATGAAAATAGCTTTAAACTCCAAGACCCCCGAAGGGTCCTCAGGGACTCCTTGGGGTCTGAAATTAACACACTGAAAAGTATTTTTCCAAAGTGTATTACAAATGGAGGGTACTGTAATTCTCTTTCTAAAAATTAAAAATCATATTAAGATAACTCATTGTTGGAAATGCTGAAGCAGACTCCAGAACACCTGGGTGGGAATGTCGTCTAGGGAATGCCTGCATCTCTCAGAAGACGGAACTCAACAATTGTTACAGTGTCCTTCAGTTTGACGATTTTTGTGCTGTGTGCTGACAACTATTTCCCAAGGCTGATTTGGCATAGTGGGTCAGTTTCCTTCCTAATTATGTTGGAAAGGTGGAGATTACTCTTTAGAATCCCTGAATGACTGAAAGTTCTTCTCTATTCACGAGAAATCTCATAGGTCCTGTGGCCTCAAAATCTGAATCAGTTTGGATGATTTAGATCAGCTGTAGTTACTTTGGGGATGCTAATGGACTCCTTGGCTATTTCTAGTTACAGGCAAAGTAGGGGATTCAACTTGGCACAATTGCTTCATTGGGATTGGAGCATGGGCTCTGCAAAGACTGAGAAGAGATGCAAAGGCCATGTTCTCCATTCTTTCACACATGAGGCCAAGAGAGCGTTTGTTTTCTCACACATTTTTTTTTTGAATTAAAAATACTAATTGGTGACATTGCTTTGAGAAATTGTTTGATATCTCAGTAGAAATCCTAACACATTTTGCAAAGTACTCACCTACATCATATTTTAGAGTAAAGAAGTAAACAGGCAAAATGGAAATTATTTCCATATCGGTATGATACTGTACATTGAATTTGTACATTGCCCTGCATGTACAATGAAAGGAAGAGTCTAGAATTCAGTCTCAACAAACATATCTATCTATCTATCTATCTATTTGTAGATAGATATACACACACACACGTAACTATATTAATACAGCTCAGTGGCTTTTTCAATATGTTTTTATAAGATATATTTCTCCTGGTATAAGAATAATTTCACACTTTTCGTTTAGGTGTTCTCAGATCAGACTTCTGCCTCATTTTGCCACCAGTGATGCAAATATGTGTCAGTGTCTTAAGATAAGTCCTTTAGGTGTCCTTTATTCTGGTATGTCCTTGGAGAGATTGCCTTTAAGATTTGATTTAAAATAAGAAAATAGGTATAATGGGTACAGATACACACTATTAGTGGGAAGATTACATAAGTCCAGAAATTGGACCAGCCTAAAATCTCACCTTTTAGAAATAATTTTTTGTCTTTTCTATTTATTTTCATTGTCATAAAAAGAAGCACATAATACTTAACCTTTGCTTTGCATTGTATCCGATGACAAGCCTTCTGAATTTCACACAACACATAATTTTATTTCCTTCATACACCAGTTTCCCACGTAGATATTCCTAGGTGTAATCAGACAATATTATTTTTATTTACCAGATTAGGTCCCCCCAAAAATAGATGGGTAGTAAGGAGGAAGGTTTTAATAAGCTTTCCATATTTCTGTTTGTTTTCATACACTCCCAAGCCTAGATTTGCCATGTTCAAATTAAGTAATATCTGCCCAAATGGAAAATGTACATGCCTTGCTGGTCCTAGATCCTCTACATGGTACCATGCTGACACCAAAACAACACTCTTTAGAAGCTTGGACCTTTGTATCCAACTCAGCCAATGGAGCTTAGCACCATCGAATTTCCTACCTGGTTGTTCCATGTACACAGGATTTTGATTCATGCTTGCAGAGTTCACCTTTAAATGGCCAGGACTTTCTCTCTCAATCTTCCCTCCAGTCTAATTACTGGACTGTTTAACTGGAAGTCTTTTGAGGGCAGCATTAATACATTCTTATTCAGACGAATTTATGAGTTTTAGCTCAATGTGATGTTTTAAATCTAATAAGAATCCATAAAAGAAACTTCTTGTGAAGTTAAATTACTTGTACAGACAATTGAATGGGAAGCTAATTATGCCAGTTTTGCAAAAGAATGACTTTATAATTTTAGGTAAGATACTGATCTGTGGTAATAGTTTTATTATCTATACACTGAGAGGTTTAGTATTTAAGACAAATCCTCAATCTCATATGTTCATAGACATTATCAAGCAAAACTGTGTCTATTTTCATTATCACCATTATGTTGCCTTTGGCACTAAGTGGTACAGTTGCCATCCATATAATGAAAAAATAATCAGCAAATTTAAATGAGCAAATTCTGGGGTTTAAATCAGTTATTTGGTGGACTTACATGATTATTTGACTGAATTGTTTCAATAGTCTAGCCAATAATATGAGTTAAGTACTTTCAGAGAAAGTAGCCACAGCATTTCTCAGTGGGTTTATTCAATGCCCTCAACCCCTACTGGAGAGATGTTGATGCTATATGTGATATTTCTTGGACGTTGAAGCTTTTAGTTCGGAGGGTGAGGGTGATGAATGGACCTTCTGAGTGGAGGACTAGGGAAGAGGACACCATGGATTCTGTCTTCCTCTCTTAGGTTGGAAAGTATGGCAAATTAAAGAGGGAAGGAAGCATCTGTAATTGATTAGAAATGAATCTGGTATGCAGGATGACAGGTCCCTGAATGGCCTTGGCTGAACCAGCTCTTCCATCTCCTGTTTGTAGTTGTCAGGATAATTGCAGAATGTGCTGAGAATGCAGTATCCTGAGATAAGGAGGAAATTTCTGCAACAGCCCAAGCTTTGTCCTATTCCTTCCTAGGACAGGATGTCTTGCAACACTTTAGCTCAGTGATCTGTTTCCTTGGGGTCCTGCAACGCTTCAGCTCAGTAATCCGAGTTCCCCCAGGGTATAAAATCCAGTAAGATTACATCTTCCCTAGGCAGTTTTCCTGAGCCCTGGGGAGCCAGCTCACCGTGGATTTGAGACTTCTGTTGATTCATGCTGCCTGTCTGGGAGTGATAAAGTTGCTCTGCATGACTTCTTGTGTAAGTGTTCTGTCTCACTAGACTCATATGTTGGAGGTTGGGTTTATGTAAAACCTCTGGTAGCTGGGTTTGTGCAAAACCTCTTGCCAGATCTAAAAACCTTAGCAGACATTGGCAAGGTATTTAGAGTTCTCTGGAATTGATGCTGGTGGATGGTATTGGTGAGGTGTTTAGAGGCCTTCCCTGGGATTCATAACTGATGCATGGTCCCAAGGGTTGATATTGGTGCATGGTATTCTGCTTAACAAGGAAAGACTTCAAAGACAACAAGAAGGTCCACATCTTGTGACTGGGGATACCTGGATTAGATCTTTCCATTTCTAAGAAAGGGAGCTTTGACTCTTTCCAAAGCACTTAATTTATTCTTCATCTAATGCTCCATAAAAGTAGTAGAATTGAAAGTGTATGTGGAATAATGATGTACATGATATTGAGAGAAGGGACATATTTTCATTCTCAGGGAAACCTGTTAGCCTATGGAATTCATAATGGAAAAATCATTAATTTGTCTGTTTCTTGTGGTGACACTTGTATATAAAACCACTGAGTAGCTGGATGGGGAGATGGAATCTACTGACTTAAATGAGGGCATGGATGGAAGGCTAAATTTACTCAACCTCTTTCATTTCCAAATGGATAACAGATAATTGTCTAGAGACAGTAATTTCCTTTATGTGAAAATTTATAGCTTGAATTGGAAGGAGGGATTGAAGGCAAAAAGAGTAGTTGGAGGTTTATTATGCTTTCAAAATTCAAGTGCACAATTTGAGACTCTGGAAATAAAAAAATTAAAATCATAAACTAGTATATATTAATTTGTGAGTACATTGGACAAATGCAATACAATGTTCTTGAGTGAGTGTTGCTACTAAAATGATTAGAACAAAACTACTTATTCTCATCAAGCTCCAATAACGCCATTCTGCTGACTTATTTCATTCATCAGATCTGTTTTTTCTCTCTGTGTGTCAGGCACTGTACTAGAAGCACAGAGTTTAGTTGGAGAGATGGATATGTGAACAAATAATTGCATTACAGCATATAATTATTATAATAGATAATATTTGTATGTTATATAATGTAGTATATGGAGAAGATGATTAAGTGAAAATATAGAGCAGAGCACAGGCTTCCTGGGGACCTGTAGAGACCTTCCCCATAGGTGGAGCAGGTGTCATGTGAGATCAGTCTAGAAAAGTAGATTGGGCCAGAGTTATCTTCTGTACAACCATGAGCAGCCATGGAAAAAGGAAAATTACCTACTTAGGTATGAGTTGTTCCTGTTTTTCATTTGGAGAAGGGATTGCAGGGAGGAAAAGTTAGAG
This sequence comes from Homo sapiens, assembly GCF_000001405.40. NCBI lineage: Eukaryota > Metazoa > Chordata > Mammalia > Primates > Hominidae > Homo > Homo sapiens. The sequence continues at coordinate 10,188,734 of NC_000006.12, read as the reverse complement.
GCAAGGAGACCAGGTGGAAGGCTCTTAATAGTAATTCAGGCAGCAGAAAACGCAGTGTGGGGTTCAGAGTCTGCTGACTGGATGAACTTACTGCCTGTGTGACCATGGGTAAAGCTGTATGCCTGTTTATTTCTAGGTTAAAGGGGGCGGGGGTAATGATATCTATCCTGGCTCCAAGCACCCTTCAGAGTCAGGATGGATTCCCTACCCAAAATTTGGTTTGGATGTGACACACTCACAGGGGGTCTGAGAAGATTTATTACTTACATGACGAAGTTTTCTGGAAAGAGCAGGGCATGCTTTCCAAGCAGGTCTGAGAGCCTTGAGTAAACAGAGAAAAGAGGCTATCTTGGGGTTTTTATTGTGATTAGAGAGTGGGGCTGGGGGTAAGAATTTCTGTGTATAGATGGAGGCTTGTGTGGTTTGAATCACCCATGGGTGCCACAGAAGGAAACACCCGGGCTTTCTTATCAGTTTGCCAAGTGTGGGGCACGAGGGGAGGATGAGGGATCACTATTTAAACATCAAAAAAATGCAGTCAGATTCTCTATTACAACCCAATTTTCTGAAGACTGAGTTAAATAGGTAAAGTGCTTAGCATAACATAGTCTGTCTAGAATAAACGCTCAATGAGTGTCAGTCGGGGTCATGCTGATTATAATAACAAAAAGGTCACAACAAGCACAGTGGCTATATGGATAATACAGATAAGGGTTGGGATTAAAGAAGTTATTATTTCTTTGCTTGGTGCCTCAAACTTAATGCTTATTGTGCTTTGGGACAGCTCTCTATATCCTCTAGTTGTCTTAATTATTTCAACATACCTATATGAAAGGTAAACTAATCAATAAAGATGAATTGAATACCTACTATATTTAAGGTGCTAACCACAGAAGATGAGTTGGATGCAGCCTTGTCCCATGAGCATCTTACATCTACTGAGATTTGGCTGTAGTTAGAGAATGAAGAACGCTGTATAGCAGACTAAGCTTCTTTGGTGGGAAGAATAGATTTCCTTTAGTTTCTTGAGAATTGCCAATTTTATTTGTCTTTTGGTAGCAGTAATTGCGTTTTTTACAAAACCATTGTTGTGTCCACAAAATGGCCTTAACATTGGGATACTTTATAATACCGTGTCTCATTTTTTTCTAGTTACTATACATTTCTTTATTTAATTTATTTTACTTTAAGTTCTGGGATACATGTGCATAGCGTGCAGGTTTGTTACGTAGGTATACATGTGCCATGGGGGTTTGCTGAACCTAACAACCTGTCATCTAGTTTTTTTTAATTATTATTTTATTATACTTTAAGTTCTGGGATACATATGCAGAATGTGCAGGTTTGTTACATGGAGATACATGTGCCATGGTTGTTTGCTGCACCGTCATCTAGATTTTAAGCCCCGCATGCATTAGATATTTGTCCTAATGCTCTCCCTCCCCTTGTCCCCCACGACAGGCCTCAGTGTGTGATGTTCCCCTTCTGGTGTCCATTTGTTCTCATTGTTCAGCTCCTACTTATGAGTGAGAACATGCGGTGTTTGGCTTCCTGTTCCGGTGTTAGTTTGGTGAGAATGATGGTTTCCAGCTTCATCCATGTCCCTGCAAAGGACCTGAACTCATTCTTTTTTATGGCTGTTTAGTATTCCATGGTGTATATGTGCCACATTTTCTTTATCCAGTCTATCACTGATGGGCATTTGGGTTGGTTCCAAGTCTTTCCTATTGTAAATAATGCTGCAGTAAACATATGTGTGCATGTGTCTTTATAGTAGAACGATTTATAATCCTTTGGGATAATACCCTATTTTCTTGAGTAGAAGACATTATCCATTGCAAAAGTCCCTGCTATTTTATGTATCAGGAAGAAAGAAAAATATCACTCATCAGTTTTGTGATATTTAGGACATCATTCATTGTAAGATGCTTTCTGATTTCAGAAGTGATAAATGTGAAAAATTGTCAGTCTTAGAATTCATGAATTTAGTAGTTACGTAGACTTCTGTTTTCTGTATAATCTAATTCAGTTCAGCCTGCGAGTATTAAGTGCCTACTATTTCCAAATGCTACTGTGGTGGGCTCTGTGAGGGATGCAAGGATTTTTGCCCTTACAGTGTTGTTTCTTCCTCCCAACCCAAAATCCAAGAAAAAATGGAATAATATTAAAAGAAAGTTATAAACAAAGTGCTTTGTAGGATTTGGGATTAGTTACTTCTTGCTTAGACTTCATAATTGAGTTGAATTTTAGGTGACAGTTAATGAGAAGGGCCTGGAGGCTAGAAGCATTAGTAGGAAGTATAGTAGGAAAACACAGCGATGAGATGCTGAGATGCAGTGGTTGGAATTAGAATGAGTTATCGGAGTAGTTGGAGGTACGAACGAAAAAGCAGTAGAAGCTGAATTGCAGAGGACCTTGGATGAGGGGGACCTTGGAAAGAATTTGGACTGTGGACAAAGAAGTTATTGCAAATTTTTGAGCAAGAAAATGATGTGACCAAGCTGCCCTTGGGGACGATTACTCTAGCGGCAGTGTGTTGGGTGACTTGGAGGACCAAGAACAGAAGCTGAGAGAACAGAGCAGAGGGTCCTGAAAATGGTGAGACAGGCAGTGAAGAGGGCTGGATTCAGGCTGTCGTCCCAATAAAAGAGGAGGGGTGATGTCACTAGAGATGTGGTCGAGGTGGAATGAACAGGGCTTAGCCATTGTTCAGCGGCAGATGGGAAGAAGGGATCAATGAACACCTTGGGTTTTAATCTGGGTGACTGACAGGATTACAATACCGTAAATGGCAAAGGATGGGGAGATGGGCAGGAGTAGGTTTGGGGTGGTGAATGGAAGGGTAAGAGGAACAATAATTTCAGCTCTGGGAACAGGTTTGAGATGTTGGTGGAACATTCCGCAGAGTGTTGGGACATGCAGGGAGACTGGGCCAGGAAATATAGATCCGGGGTGGAGTTGGAGTGGAAACTGACTAGAGGGGACTGGCCAGACACGGGAGATGCACCACATGCCAGGCATTGTGTGGGGCGCATTGTTGAGTCAAAGAGGCTAATAACTAAGCCAATGGTTAGAACTCAATGCTGTAAGCGCTATACTTCAATATACATGGAGAATGACTATGGTAACACAAGAGAGGAAATGGCTGGGGAGAGTCAAGTCTGTCTTTAGCTGTGTGTTAAAGGCTGAGCAGATGTCTATCAGCTTCCCAGGGAAAGAAAATCATTGTAGACAGAGAAAAAGCACATCCCCCAGTGCCCTGGACTTGGGGAGCGGCAGTGGTTTGGTTTGCTGGGAGATAGGGTTGGGATGGGAGAGAGATAAGGAATGGATCATGCAGAATACCCTGCTTTAGTGTCAGGAAGAGAAAGAGAACACAGTGGTGGGGACAGAGAGGAGGAGGGAAAAGGAAAGCCAACCAATCGTGTAGTGTCTCGAAAGGCAGACTCAACTGATCAGAGACAGAGGCTTGTTCATGAACCTGGATTTCTCTCTTCATTTCTCTGTGCCTCATTTCCTTCATCTGTAAAAGGAGGGTTTGAACCAGATGATTTCGAAAGCCCCTTCCTGTTCTGAGGTTCTGTCTGCTTCACCAACTTTGGGAAGCTTTATTTTCTTTTCGGGTCATGTTGAACAATTTAGTGTTCTAGTAATTAGAGTCTAATTGGAAGCCCTGTGACCTGCAGGGGTAGCACACATCCTAACAGGGGCTGACTTACTTGCAGGGCAGAGTTCCTGCACTGGGAGCATTTCCTCATTAGACCTCCTCAGGGGGCTGCACCCAGCAGTCATTGACTCCTTGGAGTGGGAGAGACACACAAATATTTATAAAGGTCATGTTGGAAAATATTTTAAAACAATTGAACTGCAAAACATGTGTTTAACATTTATAGTGTTTGGACTGGAAAAGATACTTTTAATCATCCTTGTTCTTCCTGGAGTTTTACCAGCTCCTTCTATCCCTTAGAGAGCTTCTTCCCATCAGCAGCAAATAGCAAGAGATTTCTAGCAAGAGAGGCATCTGCACCATTCCTTGTGATTTAGGTGAAGGCTCAATTGGAGTGCATGTTTTCAGATCCTAGTAATCTTAAATAAATAATCCAAGCCCATGACATTAATAAAAGCAGTAATTCTGTCAAGTGTCCTTGCTAACTTCCTAAACTTCTGAGGGACCAGAGCTGGTGATTTATGAACACTGCCAGAATCTGAGCTGTGGCGTTTTTTAGGGGATTCACTGGGAGGTATACTTTTAAGGGTAATTACCATGTGTCAGAAAGATGCCTTAGCTCCCTTGACACCGTGTGCTCCATTTTATTTCAGAGGTCAAATGGCAGGAGAATTATATGTGAAAGGGTACCCTTTTCACGTTTACAAGTAGAAAGTAAATGTTGTAATATGCTAGGCTTAATTCCAACTTTACATGGCAGTCAATTAACTCCATGTGTACCTTGCTGCCACAGGTTGGCTGAGATTAGCAGCCATTGATTGCAGTCTTCCCATACTTGTATGGAAGAGAGATGTGCACATCTGCCATCTGTACAGTATGATATCCTACTGGAGTGTTATCGCAAGTTTCTATGGAACTATGAAGGAAGTGCACCTGGCCCAGTGTGGGAGAGGTAAAGAGACACATGGAGGGCAGGAACATCTTTATGAATGAGGTCTTGCGTGAGCTGGGTCTTAAATAATCAGTTGTGGTTACCTAGGTGATACGCAAAAAGGACGACAGTAAGAGAAAAAGCAAGACGCATGTGATCATGCAGGGGGTGCTAACAACAGGCCTCTGGTTCGGAGCATGAAGGATGAGGGGGAGCTGCTGGAGATGAGGCTGTGAAGGTAAGGGATGGTGGTCAGCCTGGCAGTAGAATGGAAATTCCTTCTCTGCTAATAATCTGGTTTTAAAATCTGTTGCTGCTCCATCTGATGAATGTAGATGTGAATATGGGCCCTTAATAACTGTATCAGTCCCTTATCTTCCCAAGTTAAACTAGGCATGGCCAGGCTGTCTTACTGACTCCAAGCTCCCAACCCAGTTCTGGAATTGGCTCTTGGATCTGCACCCCTTGTCGATCTGCACCCCTTGGTTTGTTTCTTTATGGACTGGTCCCAGATTCTAATATCCATCTCATCAGCTGAGATGGGTGTCCCTGGTCCATGACCCAGACACTCAAGTACAGTTAGGAAAATCTCACTGTAGACCTCCCTGCCCCCAAATAATCAAATAGATCCCTTATAGACTGACCCACTCTAGGTCATGCTAAATTTTGCTAAATCTCTTGAATTTGGTGTTTTGGACCACAGCTTCTTTTCTCCCCCTTTTATCCTGATTACTTTTCCTTGTTCTTCTCTGCAGCCAGCCTCAGGAGGCCCTCTTCTTCCAGCTCTGAACCTCTTGCTGCTAGCTAGGTGAGGTTGAGTTGGTGAATACGTAATGTATCTTAGTGTATTCAGATGGTTATAACAGAATACCATAGATTGGGTGGCTTGTAAACAACAGAAATGTATTTATACTCACAGTTCTGGAGGCTGGGAGGCCCAAGATCAAGGTGACAGCAGATTTGGTGTCTGATGAGATTCCACTTCCTGGTTCATGATGGCTCCTTTTCATTGTGCCCTCACATGGTGGAAGGAGATAGGGAGCTGTCTGGGGTCCCTTTTATAAAGGCACTAATCCCATTCATGAGGGCTCCCTCATGACTTAATCGCCTCCCCCAATCCTCATCTTCAAATACTATCACATTGAGGGTTAGGATTTCAACCCAATAAATTTTGAGTGGACATAAACATTCAGCGTATAGCACGAGATTAGGGCAAAGTTCTCCAGAACTGGCAAAAGCCAGTTTTCAGCAGTTCCAATGTCTACTCAATTCCTTTGCCCTGCCTCGACTTTCCAAAGTCTGTGTCCCATTAAATGCATGTCAATTTAATAATGAAGCATTTCCTAATGTGTGTTTGGAGGAATGGTAGATACTGCAGATTACACGATCATTCTTGGGGATTCACAAAGATTATTAGCATATTAAAAGGGCCTGGAAACTCCTATGGTCTAGAAATGTGTCTAATTTGAGTTGAGCATTTCCAAAACAAAACAAAAGCATTTCTTGTACCACATAATCCTTTTTTTCAATAACATCGAATCCCACTTGGAGCTAATGTTTAATGGAACACACTTAGGGAATATGGTTTGAAAGCATTAAAATTCCTTTCTAGTACTATTGACTGAGGGTGCTAACCTTCCACATGCTGGCATTCCTGAGGGACTGGGAAGAGTATCTTAAATAGAGTTGTAGCAAGCTCATTGCAAGATTCGCTGGGACAGTGTCTGCAGAAACAGGAAAGGTTTGGCAAACCTTGTTACTTTTCTTGCCCAGCATTAATTTTCCCCTCTTTTGTGAATAGCGTCCTAATTTTCTTAGAAAATTTAACTTCTAAGGCTGATTCCCCCCCAAAATTTATATGTTAAAGTCCTTATTTCCAGTACCTTGGAACGTGACTGTATTCAGAGATACGGCCTTGAAAGAGGTAATTAAGTTAAAATGAGGTCATTAGGGTGGGCCCTAATCTGACTGGTGTCCTTATAAGAAGAGATGAGGACTCAGACACACACAGAAGGAAGACCACGTGAGGACACCGGGAGAAGATGGCCATCCGCAAGTCAAGGAGAGAGGCCTTAGGAGAAAGCAACCCTGCTGACACCTTATCTTGGAGTTTCCGATGCCAGAACCATGAAAGAAGTTTCTGTTGTTTAAACCCCTCCACTCTGTGGTACTTTGTCATGGCAGTCCTCACAAACACATACATAAGGTTAAAGTGAGGGTGACTCCACTGCTTGGGTCCACGGGTAGAACAAGATATGACAATGGCCGCAGTGATTGGCTTTGGGTTGGTCACATAACTGAAAATAGGCCAATGAGATCCAGCCCCAATTTTCTTGCACTGCCGGAAAGAGGTATCCTCTTCCTACCGGAGTTGCTAGTGGATAGGAGGCTAGCCGGAAGCCATCTTGACCACCATGTATGGAGAGAGCCTGGCTGAGAATAGACCCGGAAAAGAAACGGTGGAGCTGAGAGTAATGTAGAGTCACATTCCCCATAATAGCATTTGAGTGCCTCAATCTAGTCATGCCTGAAGTTTTCTACCCCCAGGACTTTTCAGTTATGTAAGCCAAAACATTCATTCCCCATCCACCTTTTTTTTTTTTTTTTTTTTTGGCCCAAGCCCATTTGAGTCGTTAAAGAATCTCAAATGATGTATAAAAATAGCAAACTAGCCTTTGCGAAAATGTCCATTAGTGTTACATTGTTACTGCACTTTTCCTTTTCTTTTTTTTTTTTTTCGGAAGCAGTCTCACTCTGTTGCTCAGGCTGGAGTGCGGTGGCGGATCTCAACTCACTGCAACCTCCCCCTCCCGGGTTCAAGCGATTCTCCTGTCTCGGCCTCCCGAGTAGCTGGGATTACAGATGCGTGCCACCATGCCCAGCCAAATTTTTATTTTTAGTAGAGACGAGGGTTCACCATATTGGTCAGGCTGGTTTCGAACTCCTGACCTCAGGTGATCCACCCCCTCCTCGGCCTCCCAAAGTGCTGGGATTACAGGCGTGAGCCACTGTGCCCGGGCTGCACTTTTCCTTTTCAAATGTCTCTGAAATAGTCTCAGAAACAATGATCTTTGCTCCATGAAATGTATGAGACTTTTATCAGGTGAAACTCCCAATGGATTCCGTTTTGATGTATGTTTACGGTCAATGCTACTGTGTCTGTATTGGTCTGGGTTAGTCTGAAGTGCCACCACCAATCATAATTTGCAGTCAGGCAGGTCACTTCACTCATTGCCTCACATTTATAGCATGTGTCTTAAAAATATTATGATGTCATGATTAATACATTGAGTCATCATTAATAAAAGTTCTTTATAAACAATTTTGTAATTACCTATAGACTCTTGGATAAATAGTCTTTCAGGACTATATATATTCTAGGTTTCATGATGCCTTAAGGGATATTTGAATTTAAGCCAAGGCATCCAAAGATACACAGCTCTAGGGCATAAGAAAGGGTTGTCTAGAATGTAAATTCCTGGATGGTGGCAGTGAGGAAAGCGTCTGTGAGCCCACGGCCCTGGTGCTGAAAGCGCACCATGGCTCAAGCCTTGCTGCTTGCATTCACCTCATCCTGCCAGGGAACATGGTTGGCTCCTGTCAGCAGGTGTGGTGCACCAACTTCAGAGGACGTATTTGCAAAATTTAAGAGAATGGAAATTCATGCAAAAAAGTTTTTTTTTTCCTCTGAAAACATCATCCTTTAGTGAACATGGGCCAAAAACCTTGTCACAACAAGCTTCCTTTTGAAATAGATAGTGTTTACTCTCCTCTTATCAGTCTGGCAACCTGGCAAGCACCTTTCGTTCATGTGGTGTCCTGACACTTCCCCATGGCGCCTGGCCAGCGCTCCGAAGTGGTGAGGTGCACACCTTCGGCCTTGCACAGACCATGGAGAGATGCTGTGCCTCCGGTGCTCACCTTCCCTGCCACCACATCCGTATCATGGGTGAAAAGCCAGAGTGGCTGCGGATGAGCAAGAAAAACACACATATTTTTTCTAGTGGTTGTACTTCTTTCTTAAAGACCTTCCCCATGGATTTTCATATTCTCAATTCATTTCTGCCCTTGGTGACAATTGAGCAGTAGAAAATGCATAAGCTAGATTTCCTCCCTTCTCACAATTAAGAAAGAGTATGCCAGAATTTATGGGAATGGTTAATGAGATTCCAGATATTCTGAAATATGATTTAATAAATACAGATTTGAGTGTAATATGAAGTATATGACATAGAGAAAAAAATTTCAAAGCTCATAATTTGCTTTTTTCTTTGTAGTCTTTTTCTTTCCTTCTTTCTCACTTTCTCTTCTCTTCTCTTCTGTTGTCTTCTCTTTTCTTTCCCTTTTATTTTCTTGTCAGGGTCTCACTCTGTTGCCCAGGCTGAAGTGCAGTGGCATGATCATGGCTCACTGCAGCCTTAATCTCCTGGACTCAGGTGGTCCTCCCACCTCAGCCTCCCAAGGAGCTGGGACTGCAGGCATGTGCCACCATGGTCGGCTATTTTTTTTTTTTTTTTTGAGATGGGGTTTCCCTGTGTTGCCCAGGTTAGCCTTGAAGTCCTGGGTTCAAGCAAGCCTCCCACCTTGGCCTCCCAAAGTGCTGGCAAATTTTTTAGCCCTGAGCCGCCATGCCTGGCCTTTGTTATATTATTTTTAAAAATACGAATCAAGTGATAATATGTCTTAAAATTCTCTCCATAATACTGGGCTACTCTCTAGAAAACAAAAAAGAAATAACCTGTGTGTAGTTTTATTTATTTGTTTATTTTTTTAGTTCCATTTGTTTTGTTTCCTGTGCTACCTCCAGAGTAAGACAGTGATGGTCAGGTGTATAAACATGGACGGTCTAGTTGGGGTTGCCTGAGCCCAAATCCCAGCTCTGCCAGTTTTTAGCTGCAAGACTCAGGACAATAGATTTAACCTTTTCTGCCTCCGTTTCCCCATCTGTAAAGTGAGGCTTAAAAATAATATCCAGCTCATAGGATTATGGTGAGAATTAAATCATAGAGTCAACATAAAGAATGTACCACAAAACTTGGTATAGTGCACTCATGGTAAAAACTTGCTTTTCTTACCATTATTATTATTATTCTTCACAGTTCCTGGCACCTTGTAGGTACACAATAAATGTTTGTTGAGTTAATCAATTTTATGTAGCATTCATGATATCGATGTGTTTGCATTCTCCCAAACTAAACAGAAGTGTGAAAAAATATCATTTTCATTCTATTTAAAGTCAAATGTATCTTTTTCCTGTGAACCACAGGCAGCATAATGCTAAAAAAAAAATCCCATGGCACATTCAAAAGTGCATATGGAAGTGAGGAAGGTAGACGAAAATGGCCAGTTTGGGAAGTAATTAATATACATGGAAAAACAAAAGCTCTAAATAAAACAGAAAGTTGAATCCTTTATAACGAAATGCCCAGGCCATGCATAGACAGAAAAACTTAATTTATAAATTAGTTTTGTAGAATTTTTGCAAGGTGCTCAAGCAATTTAGTGTCAGGATACACTGATTCTAATAAAAATAAATTAATAAATTTAAAACGTTCAGGGACCTATATTCAAAAGCCGCTAGGCATTTTAATAGGAGATAAGTAAGAACCATTAATCATGGTTTCCACACACTTTCGCACGTTACCCTAGGCGACTGTGGCCAGGCCGAGGAACAGTGCTATGAGGGTTCTGCCGGTGCTGGATAAAATAATGATTTTATCTGCGTGTTCTGCACTCCACGTTGTCTACACTTTCGCTCTCTTACAAGTTAAGTACAAAATTGTACCTATTGACAACTTAATTTTTTCACCTTTTGGCCCTACCCTTAGGAAAAGGTAATAAAATCAGTGAAATGCATATTTCTTTTCTACTTGCTTGGCATAAATTAGTGTTCACATTGAGAGAGAAACTGGGAGAAGCCCAATTGTGCACTGGCCTCATTTACCCATTGACCATGTTTCTATCCATGAAGTGAGTTCGGAGTCACAAAGTTTATTATTAGAATCATTAACTTTTCTAGGGTCAGAGACTTCCTTGAGAATCTGATGAAAATGATGGGCCCTCTCTCCTCAAAGTGGACACTGGGAGTATGGTACATTCAGAGACTCCCTAAAAATCTACCAATGCCATCTTGAGATCTTCTGTGCAGAGTACCTTTCAGATGTCATGCCTGCATTCCAAAGCAGTGATGACTACATGGAGAAAAATTCCAAGAAATGCCAACTGGGGAACAAATTGGTAACCTCTCCTTAGTCTCAACTCTTCTAACTCATGTTTCCCATGAAATCTCTGATGTATTCACACACAGAGGTTACAAATGAGCTTGATTTCATTCCTAGATTCAAAGACTATTTAGTCATAGTTGCAGCAGAATTCTGTATTTCTCATTCTAAGCAGGGCTTTAAAACAGAGCATGTTGCATTATCAGAAAAAGTATTGCAATTTCTTCCTTAAATGTTTTAACTGTAGAATCAATCCCCGAATCACAGTTACGGGTACAGTTATGACATGGTGTCTATATGTTTATCTTTCAAAAACTAAACAGAAGATGGACAGCTCTGCCCATCTTCATTCTTCCATGGTTCCAACCAACTACTGCAACGGCCCCTCTACCTCAATAACAGACTGAGTTCTATTTTCTTTCTCTAAAGTTCTCTCTTCCCAGGAGTGCCAGAGAGTCCATTTTCAGTCATGATTTGATGACTCCTATATAGTAAACCTCCTCTATGAGTGAAATAATTGAACCTAACACATTTGTTAGCTTTATAATCTTAACTAAATCACTGAACCTTTTTGGGATTTAGTTTTCTGCTATGTCAAAGAATAGAATTGGACTTTAATATCTAAGCTTGAATTAAGTTTAAGATTCTATAATTTTTCAAACACGTGTATATATGTGTGTATACGTGTGTTTGTCTATATTGCTCAGACCTAGTATTTTGTAAGCTGCTGATACCTTCTGAAAGAATCTCAAATACTCAAACATACCTTTTTCTTTTTAGCGCATATTAAACATGCAGAACCATTTGAATTATCATCCAAGTAAGCTTGTCACCCAATTAAAGCATCTAAAGGTCACTTGCCAATTATTTCCTTGCAGTAGCAAGTCTGGAATGTCAAGTTTTGAAACATTAAAAACATTGTGATTTCTTCATATACATTAGTTTCAGCCACATAAGTATAAAATTCAATGCATAAATAGCTACCCTGAGATATCATTTAAGAGAGAATTTGTGAGGTTCTACAGCATCAGATTTACCAGACAGGGGGCCTCACTGGTGCACTGCCAGCACCCCACCCTTCATATGGTAGCACATAGTAGGTGCTCAGTAAATACTGAGCAAAGGAAAGGGTCTAATAACTGATACAGGATGGGTGTAAAGTCCAGCAATTATTTCTGGGGAGAAGGAATTAGAAATTGAAGATCAAGTGTTAGTGGGTGGCAATCAGGGTGAGAAGAGAAAAGACAAGCTGAAAAAGGAATGGTAACTGGGGGTAGGGGGAGGTCATGAAACTGATGAGGTATACCATGAGGGAAGGAGCAGATAATGAATGTATTTTGCATATATTTTATTTAACAATGTGTAATTTTATTTATAGCAAAATATAGAATGCCTTGTGTCCTCCACTGTTTAGATTAGTACCCATTTTACTGAATGAAACAGTCTTTTGAGTAAATGGAGACTTGTATGTTTTTAAACACCCAACAGAACCTCAGGAAAATTGCCTGAAGCCACAGGGTAAATTTCACAAGCTGAACAAATCTATGCATGTATGTGTGTAAGGTCCATCCACTTTAGCATCTCTCCTTATCTTCAAATCTGATTTTCTGTTAAATTTATCAATATTAATCTGCAGGTAAATGTTTTCAGCAAAAATTATGATATCAGTTAGGAATGTATTTGATTGCAGGTATTGAAAGGGCCTGATTTAAAGAATATAAACAGATGTCTAGAAGTAAATGGCTGCTTGCATTGATTCAATGGCATCCTGCAATGCCACTAGATGCCCAGGCTTCTTGCCTTCTTCCACTCTGTCATCCCGTGTTTGTTTGATTCCATTTTCATGGCTGCAAGATGGTTGCTGTAGCTCCAGTCATCACAACTACATTCAAGATGGGAAGAAAAGTAAGTGTGTGTGTGTGTGTGTGTGTGTGTGTGTGTGTGTGTGTGTATTAGGGGGTGGTAGTGGAGAGATATGCTAACTACTCCTGTCTCCTTTCATGAGCAAGTGTTAAAGGTTTTCCGGAGCACAAGTGAGCTTTCATGTATATTTTATTAGCCAGATGATTTTACAAAGCTATCCTTAGAGGTAAGAGAGAGTGAGAGAGTGAACATCTCATCTGGGGCTGGGCACATTGCTGTTCCAACATCATTTGGGTTCAGGTGACAAGGATGAATCAGAGAATGGAAATACATTGAGAAATCAATGGCACTTGCCCCTGCAACAATGCTGGAAAGATGGTAGAAATCAGAAGAGTGAAAGCAAAAACAATAAATTTCTCTCCTATTTGGTGTTTAAATCCAGTCTTATTTCCTGCAATTGCCTTGAATAGGTGTTACTGCTTGCTTGCTTACCTCAGGAGAACATTTAGTGAATAATGATGTAAGTTATGTTTAAGAGTTTAAATAACAATGAGTCAGATGCATACTGTGTTGCAATTTGTTTGCATACATGAATTTTAAATTTTCCTTAAAATCATTAAATATATTAAACTTGTACATAAACTCACTGATTTGCACATAAACAGTTTTGGAATTAAATTCCTGCTTTTTGGTTAATAGATAGAATTGAGAATGTGGCAATATTTTACATGTAGAAGTGCTCAGGGAGAAATAAAAGTTTTGTCTACTGTACATAAGTCAGAGAAATGGAGAAGAAAAGGCAGGAAGGGGAATAGAAATTGTTTAGATACCACAGCATGAGAAGGAGAATGGAACTTAAACTGTCAATAACAAAGATTGTAGCAGGAGAGGAAAGGACAGAAATTAAAAATGTATTGAAGTTCTGTTTATTTTTTAAATTTAACTTTTACTATGGAAAATTCCAAGCACATACAAAAAAGAGAGAATATAGTGCAATAAACCTGCTTGTACCTATCACTTGGCTTCAACAACTATCAACGTATGGTCAGTTTTGTTTCATGTACACACTCCCCCACCCCCACATATATTGAAGCATACCTCAGACATCATGTCATTTCATTAGTATCTATGTAGCTCTTTTTAAATAAAACAATCGTTTTTTTTTGTTTGTTTGTTTTGAGACTGAGTCTCTCGCTCTATCGCCTAGGGCGGAGTGCAGTGGCACAGTCTTGGCTCACTGCAACCTCCACCTCCCGGGTTCAAGCAATTCTCCTGCCTCAGCCTCCTGAGGAGTTGGGACTACAGGTGTATGCCACCACACTGGGCCAATTTTTGTATTTTTAGTAGAGACAGGGTTTCACCATGTTGGTCAGGCTGGTCCTGAACTCCTGACCTTGTGATCTGCCTGGCTTGGCCTCCCAAAATGCTGGGATTATAAATAAAACAATCTTTAAGCATGTAGTTATCTTTGGAATCAGATAGAGCTGAGTTCAAATTCTACTCTGGCACCAACAATTGTGGGGGCTTGGGTAAATTCGTTAATTCACTCCATACATATTTATTAAGCATAATCTGGGAACAAAGAAGCAAACAAATAGACAAAATCATTCCAGGTAGAGATAGATGTAATGAAGGAAATCAAACAGGACAGTGGAACCAAGAATGACTGGAGATTTACTTTATACCGCATGGTTGAAGAGGGATAAACCCTTATCCGCTATACTGGGGCTTACTCATCTACAAAAATGGGATACTATGACCTGCCTCCTTCAGCTCTTGAGAATAAATTAGTATTTGGGAAAGTGCTTAGCAAAGGCCTGACACATGGCCAGCTCTCCGTGACCATGGAAATCTCCCTGATTCCTGAGCACCAGAGCATGGAGCATGGAGGGCAGCAGTGATGGTCTGGTCTTCATTTGGATTCAAGGTGCATTTAGGTATGCTGGGCTGATTGTCATGCTCTAGGCTGGAGCCCTGTAACAACTCAATCACCTCTAATTTTACTCCTCCCCAAGGCACCTTATTCTAGAACTCCAGGAACCCTTGGAATTGCCTCCAGAAAATAAGGTTGTATTGGACCTTTCTTCTGTTCCTCCTTCCCCCACAATTTTGTGGGAGTAGCTGGCTTATAAATTCACAGAATTTTTATGTAGAAAATACTCATTTGTTTACTGGGGTGAATTTTTGAGGAGAGCTGCTTAGTCTTCCATTACATTTACCAAAAAAAAAAAAAAAATCTTTTGAGATTGAGTTTTACAGTTTCCAATTTGGCAGACACTTAATTCTAATCCAAACAAAGAGCTGCTGGCAGTCTATCAGAAAAACAGAAAATTTTAGGTTCTAGAAATAGCTACTTTCTTGGGATTTAATGATCTTTTTCATAATATTTTAGCAGATCAACTTTTATTTATATTAAATGTAGGCTTTGATCCAAACTTCATGTAATGAAGCAACAAACAAGAAAAAAAAAATTCAATACAGTCATTCACTTTCTTTAGATCTGGGTATATGCAAGACCAGTAAGCTGCTGTTTACACAAATACTGCTTGTGTATGGCAGAGTAAATTCGAAGAACACAGGCTCTCATTCTGAAGGAACGATTAAATGGTTTTAGCTATTCCTCCTTGCTGAATCCTAAACTGGAACAATAAGACTGAGAATGAATGAGCTTTAGGACTAGCTTATCATTTTTTCCCTGCAATCATGATTACATGTAGCTTTTACCATGGCTTTTTACCAGTTCCATCAATGAATGAGGCTCACCCCAGCAACTGGCTGCCGGGCCAATGAGTGCTGTTGGTTCAGTTGAGCACAGACTTCTTCTGCTAGGGCTTGCAGCTGACTGGCCACCTTTTAAATTAACTTCTCTTTAGCTTTCCAGATTACCAGTGCCCACGCAGGGCTGCTTTAAGCCTTTAGAAAATCTCCTCCGTATTTCCCAGGGAAAGTCTGTTCCCCCCTCCCCCACTCCTCCAGCAGCCTTCCATTTTATTTTCTGAAGGCAGCTTCTTCTTGGTGCACTCCTCTAAGGTTGAGGAGAGCTGATGTTTCCGCAATTGGTGGGTTCTTGGTCTCACTGACTTCAAAAATGAAGCCGCGGACCCTAGCGGTGAGTGTTACAGCTCTTTAGGTTGCGCGTCTGCAGTTTGTTTCTTCTGATGTTCGGATGTGTTCAGAGTTTCTTCCTTCTGGTAAGTTTGCGGTCTTGTTGGCTCAGGAGTGAAACGGCAGACCTTTGCGATGAGTGTTACAGCTCTTAAGGCACTGCGTCCAGAGTTGTTCGTTTCTCCCAGTAGGCTCATGGTCTTGCTAGCTTCAGGAGTGAAGCTGCAGACTGTCACAGTGAGTGTTACAGCTCATAAAAGAAGTGTGGTCCCAAAGAGTGAACAGCAGCAAGATTTATTGCAAAGAGCAAAGCAAAAGAACAAAGCTTCCACAGTGTGCAAGGGGACCCGAGCAGGTTGCCACTGCTGGCTTGAGCAGCCTGCTTTTATTCTCTTATCTGGCCCCACCCACATCCTGCTGATTGGTAGAGCCCAGTGGCCTGTTTTGACAGGGCGCTGATTGGTGCATTTACAATCCCTGAGCTAGATACAAAGGTTCTCCATGTCCCCATCAGATTAGTTAGATACAGAGTATCAACACAAAGGTTCTCCAGGGCCCCACCAGAGCAGCTAGATACAGAGTGTCGATTGGTGCACTCACAAACCCTGAGCTAGACACAGGGTGCTGATTGGTGTGTTTACAAACCTTGAGCTAGATACAGAGTGCCGATTGGTGTATTTACAATCCTTGAGCTAGACATAAAGGTTCTCCACGTCCCCACCAGACTCAGGAGCCCAGCTGGCTTCACCCAGTGGATCCCGCACCTGGGCTGCAGGTGGAGCTGCCTGCCAGTCCCAGTGCCGTGCACCTACACGCCTCAGCCCCAGTGCCGTGCACCTACACGCCTCAGCCCTTGCGTGGTTGATGGGACTGGGCGCCGTGGAGCAGGGGGTGGCGCTCGTTGGGGAGGCTCCGGCCGCACAGGAGCCCATGGAGGGGTTGGGAGGCTCAGGCATGGCGGGCTGCAGGTCCTGAGCTCTGCCCCGCGGGAAGGCAGCTAAGGCCTGGTGAGAAATCGAGCGCAGCGCCGGTGGGCTGGCACTGCTGGGGGACCCAGTACACCCTCCACAGCCGCTGGCCCGGGTGCTAAGTTCCTCATTGCCCAGGGCCAGCAAGGGCTCGCCGGCTGCTCTGAGTGCGGGGCCCGCCAAGCCCATGCCCACCCGGAACTCCAGCTGGCCCGCAAGCGCCGCGCACAGCCCTGGTTCCCGCTCGCGCCTCTCCCTCCACACCTCCCTGCAAGCTGAGGGAGTGGGCTCCGGCCTTGGCCAGCCCAGAAAGGGGCTCCCACAGCGCAGCGGTGGGCTGAAGGGCTCCTCAAGTGCCTCCAAAGTGGGAGCCCAGGCAGAGGAGGCGCCGAAAGCGAGCGAGGGCTCTGAGGACTGCCCTCAGAGCGCAGCCCTCAGAGGTGAGCACGCTGTCACCTCTCACTGACATGCACCACCTCGATCTTCTCTGACTTCCTTATCATCCAGATTTGTGCCTCTGGCTTTCTGTAATCTGGATCTTTCCATCTTTGTCTCTTTCCCTTCTATTAACCTTTGATCCTATTGAATCTCTCATATATGGTGTATTTCTACTGAGTCTTCCTCATTTGTGAAATTAATTCTCCTTGTTCTCTCTGCATTTCCAAACCCTTTCTGATGGTGTTAGTTGTCTCTTGCCGCCATAACAAAGGATCACAAATGTAGAGGCCTAAACCAAGACAAACTTATCATCTGAGTTCTGTAGGTCAGAAGCCCCACACGGATCTCACTGGACTAAAATCGAGGTGTAGGCTGACTCCGTTCCTCTCTTAGAGGCTCCAGAGGAGAATTTGTTTGCTCTTTCCTGGGGTTGTTCACAGAACTCAGTTCCTTGTGGTTGTAAAACTGAGGTCTCCATTTCCTTGCTGGCTATTAATTGAGGGGCGTTACCAGCTTTTAGAAACCACTGCATTCTTTGGCTTGTGGCTTCCTTTTTCCAACTTCAAAGCCAGTGAAGGCAGGTGATATAGTTAGGCTTTGTGTCCCCATCCAAGTCTTATTTGAATTGCAATTCCTATAATCCCCCTGATTCCCACATGTCAAGGGAGAGACCAGGTAGAGGTAATTGAATCATGGGGGAAGTTTCCCGATGCTGTTCTCTTAATAGTGAGTGAGTTCTCACGAGATCTGATGGTTTTATGAGGGTCTCTTCCCTTTTCACTTGGCACTTCTCCTTCCTGCTGCTTTGTGAAGAAGGTGCCTTGCTTCCCCTTTGCCTTCCACTACGATTGTAAGTTTCCTGAGGCCTCCCCAGCCATGCTGAACTGTGATTCAGTTAAACCTCTTTCCTTTATAAATTGCCCAGTCTCAGGCAGTTATTTATAGCAGTGTGAAAACAGGCTAATACAACAAGTGAGTCCTTCTCATGTCCTTCTCTAATCCTCTGCTTCTCCTTTTAAGAACTCATGTGATTATATTGCACCTATCCAGGATAATATTTTAAGGTCAGCTGATTAACAACCACAGCCCTATCCACATTCTTAATTTTGCTTTGCTGTGAACACACCACATCACAGTCACAGGTTCCTTGGATCAGGACATAGACATCTTTAGAGAACCATTATTCTGCCCACCACCACAACAATATTAAAAAAAAACTATATATATATACACACACACACACACATATATATACACATATTGTTTCTTAAGAAGACAATTATAATACATATTTGTTGTAAATATACATTAGAATTAATAAATAATTAGTTAATAGAGACATAATGGCTAACATCTGTATACAGATACACGTTTATTTTCTTATTTATAAAAATGGCTTCATTATATATGTTCTCATTCGTATATATACACAATTGTATATATTTGTACATATTTGTATATATTTGTAATATATATTTGTATACCATCATTTGTATATATACTCATTATATATATATGTACTCATTTGTAGACCTTTTTTCCACTTAACATTGTATTGAAAAGACTTTCCCATGATGTAAAAAATTTCTTTACATTATTTTTACAGATGTGTAGTATTTTATTGTATGAAGTACTATAATTTGATTAATCTCCTTTTGTGGTTTCTGTTAGTTTCAGTTACTATAAAATTGCCACAATAAACATATAATACTCATTTAAATACCTGTATAAGTCCTATTTCCTCTGTCACTTTCCTATACCTTTAATTTTCAGGAAAAGCTTTATTATTGTTATTATTTATTTATTTATGTTTTTAGAGCTGGGGTCTTGCTTTGTTGCCCAGGCTGGAGTGCAGTGCTGCAATCCTAGCTCGCGGCAGCCTTGAACTCCTGGGCGCAAGTGGTTCTCCCACCTTAGCCTCCTGTGTAGCTGTGACTATGGGCATGGGCCACCATGCCGGGCTGAATTTATTTCATTTATTTAATTAATGAATTTATTTATTTTAGAGATGGCATCTCACTCTGTTGCCCAGACTGCTCTCAAACTCCTGGCCTCAAGCCATTCTCCCACCTCAGCTTACCGAGTTGTTGGGATTATAGGCATGAGCTGCTGCGCTCAGGTGAAAACTTCATTTATTTAAATTTTCAGGAGCTAAATATTTGAAATTGACTCAAAGAGTTCTTTATTTTCCTATTTGATTTTTAAATATTTGCATTTTGAATCTCTCATATGTTGATTCATTGATTCATCCTTTGAATATTGTTCAAATCATTCTACTGAGCCTTAACCCACAGGGCTAAAATTTCCTGTATCTTCTCTCTAGCCCTTTGCTTAGAATCTTACAGTGACACATCTGATATCTACTAATAACTAAACAGGTGCTGAATAGCAAATGACAGTACTGGCTTCTTCGCCTTAGTTTACATTGGCTTTGGCTCAACATCCTTTGCCCTGGCTCCCATTCCTCTCCTTTACCTGTGCCTGGTGAAGAAATTAATAGTCTTTCAGCTGTATTTATAAATAAGCATAGAATTATGGGAACCAGAGCAGATCAAATGATTTATGCAGGGTCATGGGCTCAGTTCACAGGCAGGAGATTTTAGACTCCACTCTAGTATTTACATGATCTGCAACAGAAAATTGGAAATGCTTTTTCTTTATGAATTTCGAAGTCTTACTCGAGAACCCGAGAGTTGTCAAAATCAGTCTGATATTTTTTACCTCCCGATAATAAATTTAACAAAGTATATCTGTGCCAAACAAAATAGTAGAAGTTATATTGAATGCAAATATAGAGAGACATAAGATCTCAACCACAGGATGGGCACGGTGGCTCACTCCTGTAATCCCAGTACATTGGGAGGTTGAGGTGGGCGGATCACTTGAGCTCAGGAGTTCCAGACCAGCCTGGACAACATGGTGAAACCCCATCCCTGCAAAATAAATAAATAAAAATAAAACAAACAAACAAACAAATAAATAAAAAATAGGCTGCGTGTGGTGGCTCACTCCTGTAATCTCAGCGCTTTGGGAGGCCCAGGTGGGTGGATCACTTGAGGCTAGAGTTCAAGACCAGCCTGGCTAACATGTTGAAACTCCATCTCTACTAAAAATACACACACACAGACACACACACACACACACACACACACAGACACACACACAAAAATTAGCCAGGTGTGGTGGCACATGCCTGTAATTCCAGCTATTCGGGAGGCAGAGGCATGAGAATCACTTGAGCATAGGAGGCGGAGGATGCAGTGAGCCAAAATCGTGCCAATGTACTCCAGCCTGGGTGGCAGAGACTCTGTTTCAAAAACAAAAATAAATAAATAAATAAATAAAAATTAGCCAATGGTAGTGGCCTGCACCTGTAGTCCCAGCTACTCAGGAGGCTGACATGGGAGGATCGTTTGAGCCCAGGAAGTCAACACTGAGTGAACTATGATCACACCACTGCACTTCAGCCTGGGAGTCAGAGGGAGGAGCTGCCTTAAAAATAAATAAATAAATATATAAATACATAAATAAACGAATGAACATTTAGAGGTGAGAATAATAGAGAAAGTGCTATGATTACGTCTTCTGGCTTTTAGAGGCATAATTTAAAAAATAATTTCTGTTCTGCAAGTGTCAGTGAAAAAGTTATTTAAATTTTTAAAAACCAAAATGAACATTCCGTTTGTCAACTTGAGACCTCAAATTTCTCCCTATCTCATGATGTGTTTTCATTTTTTTCCTATCTCACATTTTTTCTTTGAAATTACAAAAAAAAAAAACAAAACCCAAAACTGAAGTATGACTGTTGATAGTGATGGTATATGAACTGATAACAGCATTTAGGAGGATCATTTTCCAATGTAAATGATTAATATATTAACATCTCTTCTCTTCCTCTGCTTCTTTCTTCTCTTTCCCTTCTTCTCACTGTTATTCTTTTGGTGGTGTGGTGGCAGTAATTCATGGTGAGATGACCTTTTATATTTATTTTTGTTTTTCTAAGATTCTCTCTTTTCAATAGACTGCTTAATGAACACAGTTAATCAATGATCGCTTGTTAGCAATAACTTGCAGATTGAAAAAGGAAATCTCAGTTATTGGTGGCAATGTAGGGATTGGTGGGAAACTGATAGATATTGAAAATTCTGAGCTAAGAGACTAAAAATGGTAGACTGAGCTGTTCAGCTATGTATTGCCATCATGGCTTTTTTTTTGGGCGGGGGGGCGGATGATAACCTAAATGTAACCCCTTACTTAATTACACTGGTAATATTTGAAATGGCCTGAGGTATGGAGTCTATGAGTAGATAGAAATTAATGGTATCCATAGGCTCTGTTAGAGATGCTTGGAAAAATTAGGGAACATGAATAAACAAAACAAACCAAAACAGTCTATCCTCTTGTGGTTGGGAAGAGACAAACAATAAATGAAAACTTAATAAAAAAGCACATGATCTAGTGTAATAGAGTATAGAGTTAGGAGGTGATGGGTAGGTAGTAGAAAGAAACAGGGAATCTATAGTGGAGGACTGAAGGGTGGTTTGCAATGTTAAATAGCATGGTCAAGGGAGGCCCCATCAAAATATAAACATTTTAGCAAAGACTAGAAGAAGGTGAGAGTATTTTATAACCTAAAAGGGAGAAGAAGGTTCTAGGAAGAGAAGCCAGCCAATGTAAAAGCCCAGGAGTCAACTGCCCATTCAGATGCTCCCTCCCAAGGGCATTAGCGAGTCCGCTGTTGAGATCTCCGTGTTATACTCCCCACTGCCCATTTGGTTTTAGCCTTTATTCCAGGGTTCAAACTCACCATTCAATAAATACATTCTAGTTTTTCCCTTGATGAATATGGGAGCAGGAAGGGTGATCATCTGCATCGTTTTGAGTGAAAATCGACAAGACAAACAGTCCTTTCTCTTGTTAATATCAAACAACTCTTATAACTTTGGTTATTATGCTAACAAAGCCTTACCAAAGACTGATAAGACTGTGGCCTTTTTAATCCTAATTAGCATGTTCCCTGGCTTTAGGAAGAACATAGGCAAAGCCACAAAGAAGGGGAAGGAAAGGAATTCTGGAAATAAATATTTATAGTGAATCCTGCTTTAGGATTTTTGTATTTTTCAATAGGTGTTAAATTAAGTTTAGCCTAAACCTGCTTCCTTATGTATTTTAAGTTCAGCCTAAAGGTTTCTTCGCGCATGGTGAACTGTAACCTAACTGGATGTGTTAACAGACTGTAACCTACTCTCATGCCAATCACTGAGTTTTGGCCAATCAAAGGCGGCCAACTGTTCAAACCATGTTCAAATGAGGCAAACACCCAGTTGCAACCTCACTTCCTTTTTCTGTAGTCACTTCCGCTTTCCTGTCCATAATTCTTCTTTGACCAGGAGGCAGTGCTGGAGTCTCTCTGAACCTGTTCTGGTTCAGGGGCTACCTGATTCACGAATCATTCTTTGCTCAATTAAACTCTGGTAAATTCAATTTGTCTAAGGTTTTTCTTTTAACATAGAAATGGCTTCCATTATAAACTGTGGTTTGCATAATCTTGGCTCTGGGTTTTCTATGAATTTGTGATCAGTTTCAGTGTGAAAAAGTCTGGCGCTCCCTCACCCTTTCACTAACGGTGTGATGATAGCTGAGGTGAAGAGATGGGTTCTGAGGCTGGAAAGATCAGAGACCAAGGTGGTCTTGGTGTGGGAGGTAATAAATACATCCAGCTGAGGGTACCTGGGTGAGAAGGAGCGCAGACCCTTCCCTCAGGCCAGGGGAGTCCAAGACTGAAACTAGTACTGAGAAAGAATAAACCCAAATTTATATGAGAAGACAGAAGCAGCTCCTTTATTACAGCCCTACAGTTATGACAAATGAAGACATATCCAAGAACAGATAATGAAAAATTTTGAATTATTGCCATTGTTTCTCATATTCCTGAGACTCTTGAATTAATATAGCAAACCAAGTCTGAAGATAAAAAGCCAGAAGCTTTATCAAATACATTATGTCTGGCAGAAAGTCTACACTGAACTAACTCAATGTCCAAGTAGTGGCTTGGGTTTTGTGTAAGAAGTGGCATGGATTTTCCTGGGAGGTCTTAATTTGCTTATCTCTTCATTTGAAGCCAAAGTGTATAACTACAGATGACTTCTGTACTTTTTCTATTGGGTTGTTATATTTATTTCTTCTTTATTTCTGATTTAGTTTACTTTCTGGAGGAAGCAGGAAGTTCTTTTCTCTAGATCTCAAGAACATTTATCCATAATGGAAAGGGAGAAGGAATAAATTTAATGATAAATCTTGAGTAGCAGTGTCTCTAAAAAGTAGCTTTTAAGTATCTATCTGTGCAGAAAGCTCATCTTGGGCAAGAGTTAGGCATTATGTAGATTATAAAATATATGCAGTAGAATAAATGCTTTAACTTTACACTGAAATTGTTTTAAAGACCAGCTTTAATTCCAGATTTATTCTGTTGTTTTCATTGCTATACAAATAAGAATATAATATTTTCTTTCTCATTTGATTCCCATTGTATATAAATCTCCACAATAATATGAATTGCTATTTTCATAGCCAATTTTTAATTTTTAATATTTTTTAAAACATAGAATTATACATTTGGTAAAGAGTTAGGATTTATACCTTATAGACCAGGAACTGTTTCCTGATTTTGAAAAAATTTCTTCTGGCTGTTTTTATATATTGATGTATGGAAAATGTAACTTGCTCTTTTTCTGTTTCTAAGTGTCTTCATATTCGTGGTTGTATTTTTATCAGTAAAATATAATTTGTTTACAATTATCTAATTTCTGATTGTCATGATCCATTTCTTACAGGAAAGCTATTTATCAACAAAAGCAAAAACACAGTATATCGAAAGCATGTAATCACTTTATGTTTGAAGATAAAGTTAAGGTTATGGAAGAGTTTTCTAAGATTCTGCTGAGTGGAGTAGAGAAAAATAAAAAGGTGCAATAACCCTATTTTAATAAAATCTTTTTCCTTGCTGTTAGTATTGTGGTTATACAATAGGTTAATTCAACATACATGGAGGCTTATGGTTCTTAAATATAGAAATTGTTCCATTGCTAATTTCCCCAAAGAGATTACTGCAGTAAATGCTGTGAAATGTATATTAAAAGCAATACATAAAACAGGTCTAGCCCTTAATAATTCCTCTCAAACCCGAAGATCTTTAAGTTCTGTTGTTATACTGTTGAGCTTGCAAAACAAACAAACAAACAAAACAGTCACCACCTAAAAATCTTATTAAAGTAAAATGAAATGATAATCTGAAAATGACAACCTATTTTTTCCCCTTTTCCTTTCCTTCCTTAAACTTAACCTAAACTGTTTTTCTTTTTCTTTCCTGGTAGTTTTAAATACTAAAGGACAACTAAGTACCTTCATTTTAATATTCATTATTTCTCTTATAGTCTCATAAGGAAACAATAATAGATTCATTTTTTAAAGCCCTAACTATGATGTGATAAAGTTAAAAAGCCACTGGTATTTTCCAGGTTTAAATGTGATCTTTAAAATAATTTAGATGTGCATCTGTGTGTTTTGTTGGTGTGCAACATGTTTTCCGTGAACAACACAACAGCTAAATCAACTCTGCATGATTTTACCTCCTTTCGGCACTCATGCATTTATAAATAAATTATATCAGCTGTGTACCTACTTTGTCACTTTCCACCATGAGCTCACACAACTCACCGTACAGCAGACATTTGCAAAAGCGGGTGTTAAATTTAGACCAAGTTCCAGGAAAAGCAGTTGACTTTCTTACCTCAAGGCATAAAATCATAGGCCCTTTGCCAGGTTTGTGGACACTTCATTCTTTACTAAGCTAACTTCTCTCTCCGCTCACCTCTGTTCTTTTCTCCCTCTCCCTGTCTCCCAGGGCCACTCTGGAAGAAGAAAGAACCACCCAGTTGAGCTGGTCATTCACTTGTAGGCATTAGAATGGCAGAGCTGTCACCTGTGGGCTGTTTAGGCTGCAAACATTACTAAGCTGCTTTACAGAAAGTTATGTAAAGAGCTGTTAATGTTCTCTGAAGACTTTCCTGCCATGCTGGCTGTACAGGCGTTTGGAAAGAGGCAGGTCGAGACGTGTGTGGACGCTACCCCTCGCTATTTATGAGCTGAGCAGCTTGCGGTGAAAAGCTGTCATTTTCCCCCTGGGTGTGTAGAACCAGTTTCTCCGGCATGCCAGGCCACGAAGCTGAGGCTTATCCAAAAGGAGGGGCGGGGAGGAGGGCTGCAAGGAAAGCCAGAGATGTATCACTTGTTTAAGCTCTGAGTGGGGAGAGAAAGTGAGGATAAAAAGAAGAAAGGAAAAACTATCTTAGAAAGTTCTCTCAATTATCTGTGGTTTCCTATGGTGGAAACATCTTCTCTTTTCATTCAGTGGAAGTGGAGGGAAATGTGGGAATTAAGTTATGTGGAGAAGAAGCAGGATTTACTCACAAGCTCACTGGCTGGACCAAGTCATTGGCAGAGATAATTCCCGATCGACTTTCGTCCCTTACAGATTAAATTTATCTAGAAAAATCTCAAAGTTATCCAAACTGACTAAAAATGCCCTTTTCTATTCTGGAAAAGATTTGAATCATCCAAAAGGAATAAAAATGCCCTTTCCTATTTTGGAGAAGATCTGAATCAACATCTAAACTAACCCCATTTGAATTTTTAAATGGTATATATAGTAGTACATTGGTATGTAACCAGGGACCCCAAACCTGTGCTGTCACCGTAGGGTAGAAAAAAATGTAAACATAACAGGTTACAACAAAAAACCCTTCTTTTTCACTTGCCTGCAAAGTCTAGGCCGTTGAAATTCTTTAGCAGGCCTGCCTGCACTTTTCATAATGCTGTATATAGGCAAATAGGCCAGGCATTGATCACAAAATGGACTTGTAAATGACTGTGCCTGCTGGTATAAATCAGTGCCACCCAACAAAACAGAGGAGCCAGACCATAGTGTGGTTGTTGCTTTTCTTGAATTTTCTTAATATATCTGTTTTTTTTTAATGATTCTAACTGTCAACTGGGATTATTAGACTGCATAATGATATTTTTTATGTCCAAACACATGAATAAAATTACTTTTTCCCCATGTATATTATGGTTATACATGCTTTCTGAAAGTAAATTAACATAGAAATAAATCTGTGATGTCAAGAATATGCATTAACCTGTTTGGGCCTTATAAATATGTAAAAATAGCACCTAGTGCTTTGCCTCTCTGTGGTAGGGTAATATCTTATCCTGAATCTAGAACTGGACATTTTGTATATTAGAATATACAAATTCTAATTCATTCATATGTGGAAGCCCTGATCCCTCAGTGTGAGGGTACTATATTTACTCAATGCAATTTAATAATAATTTAAGAAAATATTGCGTGTTTGGTTTTGTACCTGGTGCTCAAGGGAATACGGTGAAGACTGTCATGTGGTCTTACCTTTTTAAGGCTTATCATCTTGCCTTAGACGTGACTAGTGTATTGTTACCTGGGCTGTTGCATCTGATTCTACTTTGCCTTTATTCTACTTCCAAACTGTTCTTCACACGTCTTCTAAAGAAATTCATCTTAGCTTTCTTCCCTCTTCCCCTCTTATTGGTAGAGAAGATCCTCATTGTCACTCCCCTTTGGGGCCCAGCGCTCTGACCACACAAGCTGTCACAGTGGCTTTCACGCTCGCGGCTCACTTATCTCCGAATATTTGTGTGTGCTGTTCCCGCTGCCTGCTTTTCCACATCTAACTCCATCCACCTGGGAAAAGTCTTCCTCATTCCTTAAGGAATCTGCTCATGCAGCACTTGTTTTTTGAACAAGACCTTTCCTGCTGCCTTCCCTCCCTGGCAGGACTCGATCTTCAGAGTCCTCCTCCTCCTCCTCCTTAACTACTCTTCTCAGAGCTCTTCACATGTTCTTTGAGTGTCTTTGGTGTGCTTGTCAGTATCCTTGACTGGCCTAAGTGCTCTTGGTGGCCAGGATTTTTGTCTTATTCAATCTTTGTGCTACCACCACATAGCACATCTGGGTAGACACTCCACAAATGTCTGCTGAATGCACAGTCCCTTCATCACCTGAAAAATGATTTTCAAACAACACTAAGTCTACATATAGTTTTCTAGGATCGCGAAGGCTAGAAGAAAACTGATTTACTCAAAGTATCTAAATTGGTTCTGGCTTCGTCTTTGTCTCTTCCTGCCTTCTTTACCTTTATCTACTGACTGCTTCTCATGACAGTGAACAAGTCCCATGAACCAAACCACCTCTTTCCCCAGCTTATGCTCTATAACAGCTCCCATCATCCTTAGAATAAAATGAAGGCCTTACCTTGGCCTACAAGGCCCCCTGCAATTTGTCCTCCCAATCCCCCCAACCTCATGCTGTATTCTCCCCATCATACACTGCGTTCCAGACACAGGAACCTCTTTTGGTTCCTAGAACATGCTAGCCTCTATTCTGCCTGGAGCTCTTCACACCTGCTGTTCCATCTGCTGGAACACTCTTGCATTTTCCACAGGGCAGGCTTCTTATCTTTCAGGTATCAGCTTCAATGTCACCTTTTCAGAAGCCTTTCCTAATCACCTCTTCCCCATCCTTTTCTCTAGGACTACATCTGTTTTTGTCCTTCAAAGCCAAATCACAAGTGATTGATTTGTTTGTATTTACTTTCTTCTTTGTTTGTTTGTTTATTCATTGCCTCTTCCTTTCTCCCATTAAACTGTGAGCTCCTTGAGGACAGGGACCATATCTGTTTTTTCCTGCTGAATTCTCCAAGGCCTACGACTGCACCAGGCACAGAGTAAATGATAAGAAATATTTCTTGAATGTCAAGTGAATAATCAATCCAAAGCAAACTTGTAAAGGGCTTCGTGATATACATACATTCTCACAACAACCAAATGAAATAAACGTGTAAAGTGCTAAAATTACTCCAGTGTTATTTTGGGCTAAATATTTGTGTCCCTTCCACCAAATTTGTATGTCGAAGCCCTGATCCCTCAGTGTGATAATATTAAAAGTCCTTTGGGAGGTAGTTAGGGTTAAATGAGGTCACAAGAGTGAGGCCTTCATGATGGGATTAGTGCCCTTATAAGAAGAAGAAGTCAGAGAGAGATGGATCTCTCTCTCTCCACAATAGGACACCATGGAAAGCCTACATTAGCACACAGCAAGAAGACAGCTGTCTGCAAACCTGGAAGACAGCCCTCACCAGAACCCAACCATGCTGGCACCTTGATCTCAGAAAATAAATGTCTGTTGTATAAGCCATCCAGCCTGTGGTATTTTGCTATAGCAGTCCCAGCTGACTAACAGATGTGTTTACATGAGCAGACCTCAAGCATTTTGGCCAGTCCTTCTTTCTATGATGATTTTGATGGTTAACCTGATGGAAAATGTCTTTGGTATCTTCCTTTCCTATTTCAAACTTGCAGGCATTCTCCAGCCTCTGTTGCTATGTTCTGTGTGCTCATATTCACTTCCCTCTCTTCACACAAACTGATATAACTCACCCAGCACACACAACCATCATGGAAAGACCTGAGCTCCCACTCAACCTAACACTAATGTTATGTCAAATGAGATCTTGTAGGGATATTTTAAAAGGAGAGTTTTACAAGTATCTTGGGCTGTGAAAAAGGGGTCTCTAGGTCAATTTGTTGGAATAATCTTCCAATCTTTTAAACAAATATGATGAGCAAAGGGAGCATCACACATTGACCTGGATATAGTAGCAGGAAGAATATCCTCATGTTCTTCAACTCTGTTTACACAAATAGGCATTATCCTAAAATGAGTAATGCTAGGAAATAAGTAAATAAGTTCCAATTTACGGTTGGTCATTCTTCCCCTTCACTCCATTTTTTTTGTATTTATCAATAACTCAGGTATTTTATTTTTAAGAAAATAGTCAAATACCTCTAACCTTTCTCAGGCCATTCAAGATTAAGCAAGGTTTGGGGCTCAAATGGTCTGGGTGACCACTGAACTCATGTGGCCTTTCTGCTATTAATGCTTTCCAGAAAAACAACAACAGAATCAATATGACTACTGAGAATACATTTTTAAAAATTAACGTGACATCTTGGATCTTATAAGAGTCAAGCCCTTCAGGAAATAAACCATGAGGTAAGTGATCGCCCAGTGATTCCATGTTCATCTCTCTGGGATCTGCTGAGAATTAAAGGTGATTCTTAGGGCAAACACAGCATTATCAAAAGGCTGTAGCAGCTAGAGCAGGTGAAGGAAACAAACAAAAACAAAAAGCAAAAAACCAAAACCAGACTAGGCCATGCGGCATGCACCGTAAACTGAGCTTTAGCTTTGCTTCCAAATGCCAGAGAACACCTGTCCACACTGGGGACCCGGCACACATTTTCTTCCTGGCGCAGCACACCAGATGCCCAGCTCTCATTAAGGAGAAGTTTGTCTGACAGTCTTTGCCTTGCTGTAATTCTTATCCCACTCTGAATTCCTCTAGCAAACATTGATTGAAAGCTCTCCATATGCCAGGCACCACACAGCTCTGCAAACCTCCCTTGGATCCTACCTTTGGAGTAGGAGAGGCAAGGTACAGAGAGGGTGAGAAGGCAGAGTATTTGCTGTTTAACCAGTTTTTGATTGGAAAGACTTTCAATCAGGCATTAAATTTATCAAGCTTTTGCTGTGGGTCTGACAGGCACTGGGTGAGTTCATGTGGCCCTTGCTCTTGAAAGGTCACAGTCTGGGTATAGACTTAACTGTAGGATGTATTTTTCAAGGAAAGAAGCAAAGTATAGAACAGCATGGATGCTCCCATCTGAGCAATAAAAGGGTATGTGATACATGAGCACGCACACATGCACACACACACACGCACACGCATGTGCACATGCACGCACACACACACATGTGTGGCTAAATGCCTAGACTACCTGGAAACACTGGTTGCTTTGGGGAGAACTGGTTTTGTTTTCTTAGAGCACTTATCAATCTCTGAAATTGTCTTATATATTTGTTTATCAACTTATTTATTGTCTGTTTCTACACTGGCATGCGAGCGCTTGCTTACAGCTATAGCTCCAGCGACTACAATAGGGCTTGGTATATTTTAGGTGCTTGTAGTTAAGAATGTTTTTTTTAAATGAATGAGCTGGAAATGAGAGGATGTAGGGGTAAGAGTTCAGAGATGGGACGGAGTCTTGCTTTTAACTCTATGCCATTCTGTAACACTTGAATATTTAAGTTTTTATTATGAAAAAAATACAATTAAGTATTTTTAAGTATATTAAGCAAAAGTAGAGACGACAGTGTAATAAACTTTCATGCACTCATTATCCCAAAACAATGGTCAACTCATGGTAGATTATGTTTCATCCATATCTCCCTCACTGCTCTTCCTCTGCCTTGAGATTGTTTTGAAACAAACGCCAGCCGTCATTGTGTCTTTAAGTAGTTAAATATGTAAACCATAACTGCAATACATTCCACACCTAAACAAACAAGCAGTGTTTTATGAATATCATCAATTATTCACTGTTCAAATTTCCCTAATGAGTCTCATACTTTTCTTATAGGTTGTTTGAATTGTATTTAACAACGTACATGTATTACTTTTTCCAGAATGTTTATTTGGGATGTTTACAATCTAGTAATCTAGTAGGGAATATGGCTCCATCCAATCATCCATCCATCTACCCATCCATCCATCCATTAAATAAATCCATATTAAGTGCCTAGTATGTGTCAGGTGTTGTTCCAGGTGCTTATTATGTATCACTGAACAAAAGGACAGAAATCCCTGCCCTTGTGGAGCTCTAGCCCCCTAGCTGACAGAGACCACTAACAAATAACAAGGTATGTAAAGCCTTGATTATGATTCAGTAATATGTAACATGTATGATAATGTAAAGGGCACAAACTCCTTTGTTAAAAACAGTGTCATCATATGACTAACATAAGAGATTCAAAGTATTGAGGCCCTTATTTTAGCATTTAAAACTTGCGATGTGGCTGGGTGCGGTGGCTCACGCCTGTAATCCCAGCACTTTGGGAGGCCGAGACAGGCAGATCACTTGAGGTCAGGAGTTCAAGACCAGCCTGGCTAACATGGTGAAACCCCATCTCTACTAAAAATACAAAAATTAGCTGGGCGTGGTGGCATGTGCCTGTAATCTCAGCTGCTTGGGAGGCTGAGGCAGGAGAATCACTTGAATCCAGGATCCAGGAGGTGGAAGTTGGAGTGAGCTGAGATTGCACCACCACACTCCAGCCTGGGCAACAGAGCGAGACTCCATTTCAAAAATAAATAAATAAATATAATTTGCAATATTTTTTGCAACACTATTCACAATAGCAAAGATATAGCATCAACCTAAATGCCCATCAATGATAGACTAGATAAAGAAAATGTGGTACATGTATACCACGGAATACTATGCAGCCATGAAAAGGAATGAGATCATGTCCCATGCAGGGACATGAATGGTGTTGGAAGCCATTATCTTCAGCAAACTAATGCCAGAACAGAAAACCAAACACCACACGTTCTCACTTAAAAGTGGGAGCTGAATGATGAGAACACATGGACACATTGCTGGGAACAACACATACTGAGGCCTGTTGGAGTGGGCAGGTGGGGGGAGAGAGAGCGTCAGGAAGAATAATTAATGGAT
This sequence comes from Homo sapiens, assembly GCF_000001405.40. Classification (NCBI taxonomy): domain Eukaryota; kingdom Metazoa; phylum Chordata; class Mammalia; order Primates; family Hominidae; genus Homo; species Homo sapiens. The sequence goes on along the minus strand of NC_000006.12, from coordinate 10,156,868 downwards.
GCTGGGCTGAATACCTAGGTGGTGGGATGAGCTGGGCAGCAAACCACCATGGCACACGTTTACTTATGTAATAAATCTGCACATTCTGCACGTATACCCCTGAACTTAAAAGTCGGAAAAAAATGTGCAATGTTTAATGTTTTGATAAAACCTTGTAAACAGAATATATTGATTTCTTTAAATAACAAATAATTAAGACCATCAAAGCTTTTTTTTTTTTTTAAACTTTCTTACAAACACATTGACTGGGCTCTGCCATTATAAATAAAGTCATGATAGCCAGGGGCCAGGTGCTAGTTGTCAGTGTTTGAGAGGTCAGACTTGGATGTTTATGAAACAGAGCCAGTCTGATACCATGTTCTGGCGCATACTCTAAATACAATTAGGATTTACACAAACCAAGCCGGTGAAGTGCACTGATGCTTCTTGAGGAGGTCTCCTCAGAGAGAGGCTTTTGTGGTTGGAATTCGAACACCACTCATCCCCAAGTCATGAAGCATCTTTGGCCTGTTATCTGGATGGTCTAGGGAAAGTAGAGTTATTGGTAGGCTCTACCAAACCTAAGAGTATTTTTGACTCGTGCTTGAAACCCATGTTGAAAGGTGGTATTTTAACTTGTGAAAGGAAATGTCAGCAGTCTGAAAAATATATTAAAATGGAAAAGGGCCCGTATAATGTTTTAACACTTTTATGCTGTCATTAGGACACTAGACACTAGTACATCTTAAAAATTTTGGTTAAATTGAACTTAACAACAACAACAACAACAAACAACAACAAAAGGCGGGGAGAATAGGACTATCTCTTACCAAGACATTTCAAAGACTATATAGTGTAGCCTGAGTAATTTTTTATACAAGTTCCCCAGATCTTACGCATCCAAATGATATTGTTTCCTATGCAGTGGTTGCTTTGGAAGGTATACTCTACATTCCTTCAGTGGTGCAATTGTGCAAACCATTTCTTTTCTTTCCTTTTCTTTTTTTCTTTTTTCTTTTCTTTTCTTTTCTTTTTTTTTTTTTTTTGAGACAAAGTCTTGTTCTGTCGCCCAGGCTGGAGTGCAATGGTGCAATCTCGCCTCACTGCAACCTCCGCTTCCCAGGTTCAAGCGATTCTCCTGCCTTAGCCTCCCAAGTAGCTGGGATTACAGGCGCCCGCCACCACGCCCGGCTAATTTTTGTAGTTTCAGTAGAGACGGGGTTTCGCCATGTTGACTACACTGGTCTTGAAGTTCTGACCTCAGGTGATCCACCCACCTCGGCCTCCCAAAGTGCTGGGATTACAGGCGTGAGCCACTGCTCCTGGCCAGACATGCTGATTTTTTTTAATCCTACCTCATCTTCCTCCAATGTCCATTTTCTCTCTAAATCCTGACTGTGCTCAGATTTCACTTTCCTCAAGATTCTGAATGCCTTCAAAAGAGGCAAGACCATAATTCTGCAACCAACAAACTGATGACTTTGAGTCTAATTCTGGGTAAGATGTTAGATCTATCTACTGAAAAGATGGTTCAAAAGTATAGAAAAGAAGTGATGATTTTCAGAAGCCTCATGGGTTCACCAAGCATGAATCATGTCAGAACAAGCTCATTCCTTTCTGCAGGATTGTATGACCTCCAGATACAGGGGACATGGTATGGTAGAAAGCAGCTTGGACTAGGAATTAGGAGATTGTCTTGGAATCCTTCTTCTTGCTACTTTCTAACTACATATTTGGGGCAAGTCACTTGCCTTCTGTTAACCTTTGTATAAAGTTATTGTTGCCCCACGTATAAAATAGGGATAATATTAACTTCTAGAACAAAGTAATAAATACATTAGTAATACCTCCCTTGTAAGGATTGGTATGAGAGTAAAAAGAGGTAATAAATTTTAAACAGATTAGAATACTTTCAGTCAAATAACTCAATACATGTGAGTAATCCACAAACAAAGAAAAAGACTAAAAACAAACAGAAAAATGCCTTGCGTGGTGGCTTATGCCTGTAATCCCAGCACTTTGGGAGGCCGGGGCAGGTGGGTCATTTGAGGTCAGGAGTTCGAGACCAGCCTGGCCAACATGGTGAAACCCCGTCTCTACTAAAAAATACAAAAAATTAGCCAGGTGTGGTGGTGCGCACCTGTAGTCCCAGCTACTCAGGAGGCTGAGGCAGGAGAAATTGCTTGGACCTGGGAGATGGAGGTTGCAGTGAGACAAGATCACACCACTGCACTCCAGCCTGGGTGACAAAGCCAGACTCTGCCTCAAATAAAAAAAAAAAAAAAGAAAGAAAGAAAGAAAGAAAGAAAAGCAATTTTAGGCTGGAATAATGAAGAAGTGTTACCATGTCTTAAAATAAATGGCTATAGGTACCAGGAATGTTTAGATTGAAGAAGGGAAAATCTCAGGAGTTGGCAAACAATAGCCCAGGGGCTGAATCTGGTCCACTTCCTCTTTTTGTATGGCCTGTGAGTTAAGAGTGATCTTTCCCTTTTTAAATAGTTGGAAGCAAATCAAAAGAAGATTACATAAAATTCAAATTTCAATGTCTATATAAGCAAAGTTTGATTGGGAACCCAGCCATCTCATTCATTTACCTACTGTCAATGACTGCTTTTGTGTTACAGCAGCAGATTTGAGTGGTTGCAATAGACACCATATGGCTGAAAACTCCAAAATATTTACTCTGACCATTCATAGAAGAGGTTTGCTGACACCTGAAATAGTCAAAAGCTGTCATGTAAAAGAGGCCCCAGAACTTATCATGTTCTGTAGGCCCCAGAACTTAGAACTAATGGGTAAACCAATGGATAGATTGGTAACTAATGGGTAAAAACTATAGTTCAGGTAGGTTTCACTCAATGTAAAAAAGAACCTTCTAATAATCAGAGTTACCAAAAGGTGGAAAGGGCTGTTTTGTAAGGAGGTGAGATCCCCGTCAACAGCAACATTTAAGCTAAGCTACATGAATGCTTGAGGGGGGTATAGAAATAATTTAAGGACAAGATGATTGTTGGGCCAGAAAACTTTTCAGAACCCTTCTGAAACTCTGATTTTGTAATTCCAAGCTTTTCCCAATCTATCTCTGAAATCTCAAATAAGTATTTACAGGCAATATTTTACAACTTAGACTATTCAAATTGCTATGAGGGATAATGACCTGTGTAGGAGTTACTTGATGGATCTAATAGACTTTCACAAAAGACAAAAGTTAAACACTTGAACACTCAAATTTTGCCCATAATTTTAGGGAACTTTTGGAACCCAACTGAAGTCCAGTCATAGACCCAAAGTAAAGAGCCCCAATTTACATAAACTCTGAGGCCCCAAAACATAAAAATTCTGAGTTAGTTGATGTCTCATTAGTGCATCCATTTTTGGATCAATCATGCCCTTTGTTCTTCAGTTTATTTTACAGTTTATGACAGGACTAACCTACTTCATGTGGAAGACTGAAACAGCCCTTCCAAGGGGCATCTGCCATCCTAGAATAAAACTTCAGACCTTCTTAGTTGTTCTAATACTTACAGTTCACAGGCAGATCATTCAATACATCATTTTCATTATATAAGGGTCCAGTTGTGGTCTAGAAGATCTTCCTTATATTATTGCAATAACTAGCATGAATGGTTGATTTAAACAAGTTTATCATTATTCAGATTTTTACTTCCTTATATGCTTAAATTTTTTAATGTTGAGATTAAGATTGACTTTTAACAAGGTCAAGAATCCAACTGACCGCCAGATATTGGGTTAATTTATGTAGCATTTTATAGATAAAGTCATTTGTCCAACAAGTAATTTATATGCTGGAAGAAACAGACTTGATGTGAAGCTAACTATAAGTGACTTAATCATAAATGATTAAGCCATATAATTCTGTTCTCAGTGGTAGTTTTAGAGAGTAATTTTAAATAAACATAGTAGTCTATGTATAAAGCAAATGATTTTAAGACACGTTTTCCTTTATAGAGGCCAGCAAACTATGGTCTGTGGATCAAATATGACCTGTTGCCTGTTTTTCAAGTAAAGTTTTATGGGAACATGGCCATGTGTTACATATTGTCTATGATTACTGTCACACTACAATGGCAGAGTTGAGTAGTTGCTACATTAACTGCATGGTTTGCAAATCCAATCTTAAAATATTTACTCTCTGACCCTTTAGAGAGTTTGTTCATCCCTGCTTTAAGCTATGGATAGCAACCTGCACAGATAAAAAGTGTGAGAAGAATAAAGAGTTTTTTCTTTAAAAAAAACATAACCTGCAGATTATGGAGCAATATATTTTTGTTGACTACAGATCAGCAAAGATTTTCAGCTGAGCTGGAAAGCCTATTGAGCTTTAAATGGCTATCCTTACAGCGGAGTAGATTTATTTGTGATGGTTAATACCATGTATTCTGAATTAAAGAATGACATGTAGAATTCAACTTGTGATTCATCGAAAGAATTTTGTATGTATGCATTAAGAGAAAAACAAAACCTAACCTCTGAAAAAACATATTTTCATATGTAAATCATTCAATTATATTCACTTTTTGGGGCAGGTGGTCAAGTTAATTTTGCCTCTGTGTTTTCATTTTTGGTGTTCATGGATTTATCATGCAGACATTTACATTTGACTTTGTCCTTTACAAATATACTTTGAATAAAATGCTTATGTGAAAAGGATTGAAAATGGAATCTACCAAGAATATTTCCTTACTTTAGCTTTCTACCCATCTTCCCCCACATTTTTTGTTCGGTTGCAGTAAGTACCATTTGCTCTTGAAAATTAATTTGCTAATCTTAGATGCCAACAAGTCAATTTCTCAAATGTTTCATGTTTAATTTGTCCTAAAGCTACCCATTCCTGAGAAAATCTGAGCTTTAAAAGATTGAGTGGGTATATGGTCTGAAATAGTGAGCAAATTAATACAGCATTTGCTTCTGGGGTCTTTTATGGAAGATGATGCTTAGTAGGCTGCTAGACCAAATGGAATGATGTATTAATCAGTTTCTTCCAAGTCTACTTCTTTGTTATCCATATTAGGACTGAAGTACCATTTAAACTTTGGGAGGAGTTTCAAGCAGTTCCCTGCATACATGGTAACCATATTTCCTGAACCAAAGATTGGGATGTTTGTATACCCTGAAGATGTTTTGGCACATAGTCTGATACTGGGTCAGAATATTTAAAACCATGTATGCAATGGGAAATGCCCTACATATTTTTCTTAAACCACATTTTTCTTAAGTTGACCTAACGACCGAAATATTCTGGGAATGCATTTGCTTCTCTATAATAAATTAGCTGAGATGCTCCTTGTCATTCATTTGTTGGATGAACAGAGTGACTTTTATTTCATTTAAATAAGCATCATTCTATTGCCTAGCATGATTAATGTAAAATGCAGAAACTATTGAGTGGTATAATTAATATAATTAAAGTAATGCTGGTAGATCCTTTTCTTTTGGATCATTACTGTTCTAAAAAGCGCAACTATAATGCAGAGAGTTCACTATCATAGTATGATGGAGCCTGTGGGCAGAAGGCCAGCTGGTCTTCCACAAGAGAGATAATTAAGAGACAATGGTACAGAAATGCATGTTGTAGCGTGCACGAATGCTCCTGTGTGTTGACCTTACAGCTCCAAGCAACTCAGAGAATGGCTTGTTTTTCAAAATTACAATTCCTCCCAGATTCTAGAGGGAAGGGTGGATACGATTTTTCAGGTTTATGCAATTTCAAAAAGGTAAAATACCTAGTTTGGGGAACACTGCTCTCTCCTTGGAGACCTGCTGGGATACTAAAATTTCAGGTGCTTCAAAAATGCAGGACACAGAGAGGAATTTGAAATGCATCCAGAAGGAAGCAATTTATATTTTTCTGCAACACTTTTATAACAGAAAGGCAAAGAGTGAGTGGAGAGAAAGGAAATGGGAGATCCCCTGACTGGAAGCTGTACAGTTCACCTAGAAGACAGGCTGGGCTTACTCTTTCAGTGAGAAGGAACCTCTTTGCAGTAATCATCTCAGTCATTAAAAACCTTTTATCCAAAGGTAAGGAAGAATTGAGGAGTATAAGGTGAGGTTGGCAACATTTGAAATATTTGAAGTATCCTGCTGTCGAAAGTCGAGAAGCAGGGACTTATTCAAGAAATTTACAGCAATGTAACAACTGTGGGAATCTCCTTGGTCATAAAAACCTGGATGAGGTAAGGTTAGGAAGTTTTGAAAGACACCCCAAACTCAGTGAACCAAATAATAATGCCTTGTTAAAAATAACTGTGAGAACCCACACTTTTCCCCCAAGAGCATCATCAACCATCTGGAGCATTGAGTTGAGTGCAGTCTGTGTGTACACATGTGTTTGTCTAAGCAATAACTAAACCAGTCTTTTTTTCTGTGCAGATTATTCTGGGATCAGTTAAATGGAAATAAATAACATTTCATGTGTAGAACCTCCCCGTGTGTGCTTCTCTCTCAAAATATTGATTTTCTTTTATTCCATTCGAAAGGAAGACCCACAAGGAATAGGAAGAGGAGGGCACTGTTTCTTTATGAATACTAATAAGGAAATCAAGAGAGACAGTGGCACTTCAAGTTTCATCTCTCCATTTCCTAGAGGCGCAAACCCTGCCAGTTGTCACCTTGGTGTATTCAGTGCCTTTTGAAGCACTAGACTCCTCCAGAGAGAATGTCAGCCCCAGCCCTGGGCAGTTTTGACAAACAGAGTATATATTGATACATGATAAAGTATGCTAGAAATCACCCCAGCGCTAAAGGCTACTATAGTTTTAATATCATCATTTGAATTAACAAGCATTCTGTGGAGAAATAATGAGCTTTCATTATTCAGAACATCATCCTTACCCGGGGAACTCAGAAACCATTAGCTCTTGAGAACTTAATGAAAAGATGATAAAGAATGTTTTAGATAAAAGTTTGAACGGGCACACTTGATAACTGAGGTAAAATATTAATGTTTGCCTGGATGATGGATCAGGGTTGTTGAGGCTGGCTCGTCAAAGTGACGGTTACCAAGTGTGTGGTCAGCTCATGCGTGTGCCGGAGCCAGACTGGCCCAGTGGACGATGCGAGCTGTCAGTCTCTGTCGACTGTGCTTCTGAGAAGGCTGCCGAGCTCCTAGCACGGCGAGGGCCCTTTTAGACTTACAGACAAGAAGGAGTGGAGGTAGACAGGAAAAAGAGGGAATGCGGAAAGATAAAGTGTGATCAACAGGTATTGATGTACATGTTCAGAACTGGCACCTCAAATCACTGTTTCATAGTCTCTCATGTAAAACATAAAAACAAACGCTTGAATTTATCTGGTAAAATTTGTTTTTCTTGTCTTAGCCTGGCCAGTGGACTCGGAAATTTTCAGTTAGCATCCTGGTTTTTAATTTTATGTGATAAAATTGCATAGTGGCGGGAAAGGAAACAGAAAGGAAATACAAGTAAAAAGATGACATCTTTAACGCTTGGGTGCCAACATCAACCACTTGTAGACTAATAGATGAAACTTGAGCGCATGCAGACATAGAATAAAAGTCATGCTCATCGTAAACATTTGAAAAATACAGACAGTAGAAGACAGCAAAATATCACTCTCAGTCCCACTATACAAAGAGAATCTCTGCTAGCCCTTTGGTATATTTACTTCCAGCCCTTTTGCAGTGTGTATGTTACTTATGTGGCAATGATCACATGGCATATGCAGAATTATAGGTGTTGTCATTTTTAGAGCATTTTCATGATTATAAAACTAATACACGATGATTGCCTAAGATTGGAAGGTACTGGAGATAAACTTGGATGTCCATGAGAGTCGCCCTAGAGAGCTTATTAAAAAGCAGTCTCCTGGACCCCACCTCAGACCGACTGCATTAAATCCAGCAGAGGGGCAGTCTCTGGGGTCAGACTGTCTGGGTTAGAATCTTGATTCCATCACTTAACAGTATGTGTCCTTGAGCAAATTAATTCACCTCTTTATGCTGCAGTCCTCTCAGGTGTAAATTAAGGATAAAAAGAGTACACACCTCAGGGCTGTTATAAGGATTAAATGGCATAATGCTCATACAGCACATAGAATATTGGTTGGCACATAGTGTGGAATCAAATGTTAGTGATGATGATGATTAATATTATTATTGTAACTCTTATCCTCAGTTACAACAAGCTCCCCAGATGCTTCTAATGGACCATGAGTATTATGGCGTGTCCTTTGCCTCTTTTCCTATACATTTAAGAATATGATTAGGTTGGTAGTGGTATGAAGATGATGGACTGGTGCTCCATGTCTTTCCCAACATTTGTCTGGTATGCATTCCTGTACATTTCCCAGAATTCCTTTTGTCTGAGGTTCTGAGTATAATTTAGTTTCCAAAAAGTAGATGAATTAGATGCACTCATGAATGATTTGGAAGGTGGAAGGGAGGCAGAGACTGTAGCTGCTTGATTTTCTTAGTAAGCAGAAACAGGTAGGAACTTGGTTTTTCTGCTATGACACCAGTGGACGTCTCAACAGCCGTTGAACTGTGGAGTTGGAGTGTGGAGAGGGGACCTGTTTTGCTGGTACAGATTATAGCAGCCTTCTTGATTGGGATGATGTTGGTAAGGTTCAGGAGGTGGCAGCTTTCCTATTTGGCAAGCAGCTTCCAAATGACAAAAGAAGCTCCGTGGGTGGCTGAATTTTGTGACTTTGGGAGCCATTCTTGAAATCTAACCTAGAGGCTCTTTCCTCAGCCTTCCTAACAGTCCAATAACCCATTTCAAACTTGTAATAAACTAGCTTCAGCTAAACTAGCTAGAGTGGATTTTGTTCTTTGCAACATAAATCTGACAAATATCATTGCATATAATGTTTAAAAAACATATTTAGACAGAAATATTCTCCAGTCTTGGAAGATGATAAGAGGTGGGGATTTGTGTCAAATGAAATATATCATAGGGCAGTTTATTGATCTTTGCTAATTATTTAAAACCATAGTTAGATTTCTCAACGTACATTTCAAAGATGCAGAAAAAAAATCAATAACCAAGAAGCTTGACAATGAAAATGGCCTTTATGTTGGTTTCAGCAGTTCTGCTATTGTGGAGGGCTAAAAGAGCACTTTTTGTATCAGCCCTGTGAAAAGTCTGGCCATTGTTAGTAAATGCTGGCACAGAACAGCATTATTTGTTGTTTTAAATGTTCATCGAAGAAGTCAAGTATTTAGAACAGTAAGTTAAGGATGTGATCCAAGAAGCATTTCTGATGCTGGAAAATTAACAGCATCAGAAGCAGAAAAAGAACATTTGGGCAAGGGACTGTAGAGAAAAGCTCTGTTCCTCGCTGCCCAATCGATTTGAAAACAACATCCTCGAATAATGATTTTTCTTGCATCTTTGAAATGTATATTGAAAAAGCCAAGTTATGCTTTTGTTTAATTAGTAAAGACCAATAAACTGCTCTATGATGGAAGGTTCTTTCTGTTGCTTTCCTCCCGTCAAATAACACTTGGCTGGGTATAAATTCAAGGGTTTTGTTTATTTTTTTCTGTCTCAAAATTCTGTAAGCAATGTTCCACTGTGTTCCGGCATTTAGGGCTGAAGGCAATAAATCCAAAAACAAGCTTACTTTTATTCCATTGCAGAAGATAGTTCTGCCTTACATCCATTTAGAAAATGTAACTGAAAAACAAAACAAAACAAAACAAAACTGGTGCAGGCATTTGAGAAGACCGGCTGAGATGCATTGCATCCTGGGAGGTGTAGTCCTTGCAAAGTACAGTGCTTCCTGGGAAATGGAGTTTTTCATGTGCTCATAGTCTCAGAATGGGCTGTACTTTGGTGGAGGCTGGTGGGTGGCAGGGGCGAGTGGGAGGAGATGGGGGATGGAGGGGAGAATAAGATTCTATTTCTTACTGAAAAGATTTGTCTTTTTATGACAATGAAAAAAACCCAGAAAAATACCAACAGAAGGCTTATAAGAAAAATATTGCACAATTAGGGGAAAAGATCATTATCTTGAAGCCTCAGAGACAGATTATTACCTATTTCAGGCAACAAAAGAAAATTAGAAAATGTTTGGCATTCTCAATTGATACTATGGCTGGACCTTGGTTCTCAGGTAAGATTAGACAAAGGAGAGGTGATTTATCTCCCCACTACCTTTGCGGGGGGTGGGTGGGGCAGTGCTACACCTGATATGAAACATAGGCAAGTTAGTGGTTGTTTATTCTCAAAAGGATTCCACTATTCTTATAATGAGGCATTTTCTTCCAGCTTTTAGGAATCTGTTGTCCATTGAACTTAGATTTCAGTATTGTTATGGGCCGAATTGTGTCCCCCCAAAATTCATATGTTGAAGTCCTAACTCCCAGAACCTCAGAGTGTGACTGTGCGGATGCTCCCCAACTTATGATAGGGTTATGTCCTAACAAACCCATCGTAAGTTGAAAATATCATTAAATCAAAAATGCATTTAATACTCCTAATGCACCTAACTTACTGAACATCATAACTTAGCCTAGCTTACTTTAAACGTGCTCAGAATACTTATGGTAGCCTATAGTTGGACAAAAACATCATCCAGTCTATTTTATAATAAAGTGTTGACTGTCTCAAGTGATTTATTGAATACTGTACTAAAAGTGAAAAACCTTTCACTTTTTTCGGTTGTATGGGTACCCAAAGTACAGTTTCTACTGAATGGGTATTGCTTTTGCACCACAGTAAAATTTTAAGTTTTGACTATTGTAAATTGGGGACTGTTTGTATTTGGAGATAGATAGGACTTTTAAGAGGTAATTAAGGTTCAGTTAGTATTGACTATATTCATACTAACTGAACCTTAATTACCTCTAGGGGATGAATCCCTATTCTCCATGATGTGCTTATTTCACATTACATGCCAGTATCAAAACATCTCACATACACAAATATATAACATTGTGTACCTAAAAGAATTAAAATTTTTTTAAGTAAAAAAAAAAAAGGTTCAGTGAGGTCATATAGGTGGGCCTTAATCCAATCCGACTGGTGTTCTTATAAGAAGAGGAGATTAAGACACAGATGCGCACAGAGGAAAAACTGTGTGTGGACACAGCGAGAAGCTGGCCATCTATAAGCCAAGGGGAGAGGCCTTATAGGAAGCCAACCCTGCCAGCACCTTGATCTCGAACTTTTAGCCTCTGGATTTATGAGAAAATAAATTTCTGCTGTTGAAGCCACCTGATCTATGGTATTTTGTTATGACAACCCTAGTAAACTAATACAAACGCTATTTCAAATATTGTCTTTTTATTTGCCTTCGCATCTTTATGTTAATGGGAAACTGGGAAAGGCCTTGTTAGGGGTTGTGAGGCAGATGCCATTTTTAGTTTTAAATTATGAAGTATTTTTAAGAAAACAAAAACTATGAAGAATATATTTAATAAACACCGAAGAACTAGCCACCCAGCTTAAAAAAACAAAAAACAAAAAACATTATAGGTACAGTTAAAGCCCCCACACTCTTACCCTGTTCCCCTCCCTCCCAAGCTGAGATCATTAGTTTCCTGAATTTAATGTCTATCATTCTCATACATATCATTATATTTTTATAGTATATGTTTGCATTAATAATCAATTCATGGTGCTCTTTTGCATATATTTAAAACTTCATAAAAGTATTATTAAACTGTATTTGTCCTTCCAACTTGCTTTTTTCTTTTAGTGCTATGTTCTGGGCATTTATTCATGCTGATAAAAATATAGATAGATACAGATATCTGGTTTGCATGTTTTAACTATTTTTATTTATGAATACATCACAGTTTGCTTACACATTTTATTCTTGAAGGAGCATGTGTAACATTTTCAGTTTTGTATTATTTAGAAATAAATAATGCTGTGAACATTCTTAAAGAGATCTTCTTGGGCATGTGGACAGGAGTTTCTTCAGGTTTGGAATTGCTGAGTCATAGGCTGTGAGTAGTTTCAAATCTGATATATATATATATATATATATTCCCAAATTTTCTCCAAATCGATTGTACAAGTTTATAGTTCCATCAGCTGTGTTACTTCATATACTTGCCAAAATAATGTGTTGCCAGAATTGGAAAACTTTAATGAATTTGATAAGTATGAAATCTAATGGTTTTATTTGCATCTCTGTAAGTATTTTGAGGTTAAACTTTTTTTTTTGAGACAAAGCCTTGCTCTGTTGCCCAGGCTGGAGTGCAGTGGTGTGATCTCAGCTCACTGCAACCTTGGTCTCCCATGCTTAAGTGATTCTTGTGCCTCAGCCTCCTGAGTAGCTGGGATTACAGGCATGTGCCACCACACCCAGCTAATTTTTGTGTTTTTAGCAGAGACAGGGTTTTGCCATGTTGTCCAGGCTGGCCTCAAGAGAGCCACTTGCCTTAGCCTCCCAAATTGCTGGGATTATAGGCGTGAGCCACTGTGCCCAGCCAGAGGTTGAACATATTTAAAAATGTTTTGGAGTATTTGAATTTTCTCTTTCATAGATTCTGTGTTCACATACTTTGCCATTTTTCTATTGGGCTGCTTCTCTTTTTCTTATTGATTTGTGGGAGTTCTTTATGTATTCTAGATATGAAGCCATTGGGTTTGTATGTATCTTCATCCTGGTTTATTGTTTCTCTTTTCATTCATCTTTTGATGCATAGAATTTTTGTTTTCCTAGTGCTGTTAAGCAGGCTATCCAGTAGAGTGTTTTAAATTCTGAGCAAAGCTGTTTTTTCACTTGGAAAACTTTTATTTTCTAGTATATAAGTTGGCAGGTGCCTTAAAACAAACTAATTGTTGTCTTGGTTGTCTTAATATGGAGATTATTGCAAGTTCCGGCTAATAACTACAGTAAGCATAATTTATCCATAAGAAAATTATTTGTAAAGATTACATTTATGTCTTTAATATAAACTTTAATAATTTTGTATTAATCCTCTTACTGTTTTAAAGAACAATTGCATATCTTTTGTGGGTTAAACACTGTTATCTGGCTATGACCGGACTCACTTGATTTTCTATGAAGTCGATTTTTATTTACTCATTTGTTCAGCTAATATTTACAATGAAGAAGGCTGAGGATTCATTTGAATATAAAATACATTACAGTTCACAATGGTATTTTAAAAAGGTTCACAATTAATTAGTTAATATATGTAAATTAATAGCAATTCTTATTTCCTTATGTTAGATCTAGCTGTACATTTAGTTCACCTTGTTTCTTTCTTGTTTAAAAAATACTTACTTTTTAAGAGCTTTAAAGTTTACTGCAAAATTGAGAGGAAGGGACAGAGATTTCCCGCATGCCCCTGCCCACCCCACGTGCACAGCTCCGCATTATCACCATCCCCCACCAGAGTGGCACATTTGTTACAATTGAACCCACACTGACACATCATTATCACCCAAAGTCCACAGTTTACATTAGAGTTCACTCTTGGTGGTGTACATTCTATGGGTGTGGCCAAATGCATAATGACATTAAACCACCATTACAGGACCACACAGAGTAGTTTCACTGCCCTAAAAATCCTCTGTGCCCTGCCTATTCATCCCTCCTTTCCTCCTAACTTCTGGCAACCACTGATCTCTTTACTGCCTCCAGGGTTTTACTTTTCCAGAATGTCACAGAGTTGGAATCATACAGTATGCAGCTTTTCCAGGCTGGCTTCTTTTACTTAGCAATATGCATGTGAGTTTCCTCCTTGTTTTTTCCTGGCTTGATAGCTCCTTTATTTTTAGTGCTGAATAATATTCCCTTGTCTGGATGTGCCACAGTTTTATTTATCAATTCACCTGCTAAAGGACATCTTGGTTGCTTCCAAATGTTGACAGTTATGGATAAAGCTGCTATAAATGTCAGTCTGCTGGTTTTTGTATAAACATAAGTTTTCCGCATTCTTTAGCCATTTAGTGAAATATAAAGAGATGTATATCTTATTATTAAGCTTCCTTACAGACTACATTTTCAGTTATTGTCCAATCTGCTGTTGTCAGATGGACTTTGCCTTGGCTCAGAATAAAGTATATTGGTATCTGAAAAAGCAAGCAAGTTATAAAATTATTAACAAATAATTTTTATATTATTGAAAATGTTAAAATCATAAACAACCCAAACTATAATATTCCAGTTCACTGACAAATTTTACAATGTCAGTTTTATTTTAAAAGTTAACATATCTTAATAACAATAATTCCTTATTAACTCCTGTTTTTGGCTCATTTTTAAAAATGTAGGCTGGGCGTGGTGGCTCATGCCTATAATCCCAGCACTTTGGGAGGCCAAGGTGGGCGGATCACCTGAGGTCAGACCTTGAGACCAGCCTGGCCAACATGACAAAACCCCATCTCTACTAAAGATACAAAAATTAGCCAGGCATGGTGGCAGCTACCTGTAATCACAGCTACTCGGGAGGCTGAGGCAGGAGAATCACTTGAACCCAGGAGGCGGAGGTTGCAGTGAGCCGAGATTGTGCCACTGCACTCCAGCCTGGGTCTCAAAAAAATAAAAATAAAAAAAATGCAAAGTGCTTCAAAATTTAATTTGTATCTGAAAACCCTCCATTACGATTTTTCTTGGCACTGGGGCATGCAAAGAGGCTGCTTCTACATGTAGATTTTATCTCTCTATATACACACAGCTTTGTGGGAAAGTTTTCAGTTCCAAATTATTTCCTTAAACATCCTTAAGTATATGAACAAATATCATGTTTCAGATAAAGTATAAATTGTTTAACAAATGTATGCATTCTCTTGGCTTGGATAAATTGTTTTATTTACCAAAAACATATAGGTTGAGAGATTTATTTTTAGGAATATAGTCTATTTGCTACCAATGTGCATTTTGGTGGATGTGATGGTGATGACAGTGATGAGAGGGGACAGAGATCAGGATCTAGAGAGAGCAAGAGATGGAGTGAGTCAGGAGAGAGAGAGAAAATAAGCAGATAGGCTTGAAATGAGCACACACAGATTTGAGGTATTGAGGGAAACAGCAGTCACTGCTCTTACAAATTCCAGCTGGGTGGTTTCCTACGTGTCTGCAGTAAAGCTCTTGCACAATAAATGAAGAAAATACTACATAAAAGTTTAAATTTTATTGGGTGTGAAGCTCTTAAAGAATTGCTATTCACTAAGAGTTTAAGGAAGACTTAGTTTGAATAAATGAACCCCAACTAAAGGAGTACCCACCTTCCGTTTTCTTTTCTTCATGATATCTATGTGTTTGTCTTCTTGATCACATTCCCTTGTCATGATGGTCCCCAGCCAGCTGGAGCAGAAATTCACCTGAGCAGACATGGAAGAAAAGGTTATGCTGGGAAACGAAACATAAATTTCACTCAGTAAGAGTAACTATCTACCAGAAATGGGAATGACAGAACGACCATAGGAAAAGAAATGGGAATAAACCTTCACATCAACGCTCGTCAGTGCTATTTGCTAACAGATGCATTGAGGTAAATGCTGTTACCTCAAGAAGTGTTATCTTCTGGGGATCCTTATCATAATTTTATTTTAAATTCGAACAGCTGTTGTTTAACTACCACAGACCACAATTTGTCTACAGCTTGGGACCATAAAGTTAGCTTTAATGCACTCTGTTTCTTTTCTCTCCCCTGTATTTGATTTAATTTCCGTGAATCTGACACTCACATGCTATATACCATTTGCATATTTCAATATGTACTTTTGCAGATCCCATAAGTATTCAGGTGCTAAATGTGAAAGAATAAATAAAAATGGAAGTTCCCAATGACAAATTATAAAAGGAAGGAAGAAGAACTCTCAGGTTTCACTTACATGTAAAATATTCTGAACAATAACAGCTCCTTCAGGACAACAAAGCAGGTTTTTCTAGGGTTGTTGGTTTATGGTGACTGTAGAAGAAAACGGATGTTTTTTTTGGCAGTGAAACACAGTACACTTATCTGAATTGAGCCCTAGGGCTTACCATATAGCAACGGACAGAGAACTTCAGCTTTATTTAAGAAATCAACAAATGTGGCCACTTCTATAACCTGAATGTTTTCTAAAATATTCATGGTTTTTCATTCATGGAATTTTAAAAAACTGAGGTTGCGGTTTCAAACAAAAGAAAATTCTAGGGAAGATAGGAGGGGAATAAAAAGTCACTCTTGGGGAAACCTTAAAAAAGATCCCTGTGGGCTACTGTAGCGTATTTAGCGAAGGCGCTTTGTCAGATAGGGCATGAACTAACCTAGAACTCGGGCAGTTACTGGACAGAAAATCAATTTTGGTCAGGGTTAGACGGGCCCAAGACTTGTTCTTTGGTCTTAACTACAGTATGTGAAAACTTCCAAGTAGACGTCAGAGGACTAAAAAAGCTTTTTCTTTTCTTAGTTCTTTAGGCTGGTTTGTACAGATTTCTGCAAGTCTGGGGAACCTTAAAACTTCCATCTCCTTTTCCATTCTTTGAGTTAACAGCAACATATTGGTAGCTGAGCTTCACAATGTTGAGCTCTCCAAGTTGTTTAGGGTGATCTTTAGGCCTCAGCCCTTTTTGAATCTTTGTTTGTTGTAATCAAGTTCCAGAAGGAAATGAGGTGCGATCCTTATTGCAAAAGAATGAGGCAGGCTCTGGGGCTCAGTGATTCACTTACTTGATTTGATTATTAGTTTTCTGGTAACAAATGGTTGGTGCTGGAATGCTGATTTCACAGGCACCCTCACACACGTTAGTAAAATCAACAAGTGTGAGAGAAGCATCCTCAATTGTAAGTTAACAGTAACAACACGATGCTCATACATGTCTTAAAGCTGGAACCCAAAAGCCAAATTATAGTGTATGTTTTATTTCTGAGCCAGTATTCCTCATGGAAATGGGAATAGTCCAAATAGAAACAAAGTAACAGTGAAAAAGTGGGAAGGATTTGCAGGGCAGAATTTGGGAATTTGATTTTGAAGTATGAAAACGATGTCACTATAATCAAGTTTGAATAGTGAGTACATTTTTGCCTCAAATTTTCATTGTATCTGCTTCCTATAGACCCTAGAATTGGAAATCATTGGAAAGGGGATTAGTTCCTTTTAAGGAGAGTTGCTTGATACCCCAAGTTTCATGAGAAAGTTCTAAGCTAATTTACCAGCCAAAGAGGGTGAGACAAGCTACTGTAATCATCACCTGGTACCTTTCCTTTGAAAGAGTCTGACAAATGTTAATTAAGGAAACCTCAGGATGCTTGCCCAGGACAGATAAGGGGTTAATTTCAGCACCTCTGGGAAGAAATGCGAGAGCACCTCTATGTCCTTTCTTCCCTTCTGAACAGCTCTCAGGTTCTTGACACAGAAAGTCTGGGCACAAAAGGAAAGGGAAAGGGAGAAAAGGGCCATTCATGAATGTCTGAAAGAACGCTGGCTGCTTCCCTGAGAGCGATGTGATTTGACTGTGGCGACGTCTCTTCTCTCACCCCAAGCCCAGGAGGGTTATCAGTGAGCAAGGCAGAGGGAGGATCTTGGTTCTATTTTACTTCATTCTGAAAAACTGGAATGTAGCATAAGAGCTAGTTGCATGGCACCCCAAATGCTGCTGAGCCTAATGTACTTTTGCAGATCCTAAATCTGCAAAGGTGCTAAATGTGAAAGAATAATTAAAAATGGAACTTCTCAATGACAAATTTTAAAAGGAAGGAAGAAGAACTCTCAGGTTTCGCTTACATGTAAAAGGAACCCACCATTGAATTAACCACAGTCATGGCTTCCTGCCCGAGTCTCCATGAGATGGCTCCCTATTGACTGTAGCCTCAGCCCAGCCCTGTCTATCTCAAGCCATTTCACACTGAATCATAGCACACAGGTCTGGGACTTGAGGATGCTTATCTGACTGAAGCTTAACTGAGATGAATCATCTTTATAAATCTATTTTGGTCCACTGATAATTGCTTTTTAAATGAAAGCTTTTTTTTTTTTTTTAGACAGAGTCTTGCTCTGTTGCCCAGGCTGGAGTGCAGTGGTGCAGTCTCGGCTGACTGCAACCTCTGCTTCCCGGGTTCAAGCGATTCTCCTGCCTCAGCTTCCCGAGTAGCTGGGACTACAGGCACCTGCCACCACGCCTGGCTAATTAAATGAAAGCTTTAAAAAGTCTTCTTAAAAATAGAGAACATGTTCCCTTTCTCATTCCTCTATAAGGTGTTGAAGTCAAGGAGCATTTTATCTTAGGAGGCAGATACTTATTTATTTATTTATTTATTTTTTATTATACTTTAATTTCTAGGGTACATGTGCACAACGTGCAGGTTTGTTACATATGCATACATGTGCCATGTTGGTGTGCTGCACCCGTTAACTCGTCATTTACATTAGGTATATATCCTAATGCTATCCGCACCCCCCCCAGCACCCCACCCCATGACATGCCCCAGTGTGTGATGTTCCCCACCCTGTGTCCAAGTGTTCTCATTGTTCAGTTCCCACCTATGAGTGAGAACATGTAGTGTCCTTGTGATAGTTTGCTCAGAATAATGGTTTCCAGCTTCATCCATGTCCCTACAAAGGACATGAACTCATCCTTTTTTATGGCTGCATAGAATTCCATGGTGTATATGTGCCACATTTTCTTAATCCAGTCTATCATTGATGGACGTTCGGGTTGGTTCCAAGTCTTCACTATTGTGAATAGTGTGGAGGCAGATATTTATATGGGATAAAGAGATCTTGTTTTTACTCTTAATGTGACTTGTTTTGTGTATATATATTCAATTTAGTTGTTGTTGGAGGTATTCTGCTGAATTTTTAACTCAGGACCCAGACATCTTTATTGCTGTTTTTTCTTAGTGTGCTGAGAATCTTAAGAATATAAAGAAAAACTTTTCATTGCTAAGGGGTGTGTGTGTGTGTGTGTGTGTGTGTGTGTGTGTGTGTGTGTCAGAGAGAGAGAGGGAGAGGAAAAATGAGAATGAGAATTTTTGATGTGCAGAAGATGAACTGTGCTGGACATTAATGGATTAATTTTTAGCAGTATAAGAGATTTATACAGATCAAGCCACAATCAATTTGGCTGTGGGGATTGGGGAAATTTTCATGATAGCTGAAATGAATAGAACTGCTATGTTGTGGACTTATTTGTATAAATAGCTTGGAAACGGTCTTTTGTTCATCTATGAATTATACTCGGTCATGTATTTTATACCCTGATACTGTATATCTCATAAGAGGCATGAAGTTGATCTGTGGACCGGCTGTATGTTTTGGGGTGTTTTTACATGGCTCAAATAAAAATTCATTTATATACTCATTTAGTACAGATGGAATGAAGTATACAAAGATGAGTAAGTCATAGGCACAGTCAAGAACTGTAAAGGGCCTGTAAGCAAAGTGTTAACTGTAAACAGGCGAGCCTACCACAGTTTCATAGATGTTGGTAGAAGACATGAGATTCTTGGGTCAGAAACAAAGGATTTTATTAGTCACAGCAATGACAGTAGCCAGAATTTGCCTTGGTTCCCTGAACCATAACTCTCACAGTGCAACATGAAGAGGGCCAGGTGACCCTGCACGTGAAGAGAGTTGCATTGTAGAAGAACCCTGAATTTAGGAAACCTGGATCTTCTATAACAAGCAGTGAATATGCCTGCTCTTTATCTTGGAGGGAGAAATTATCCTTATTATACTGGACCATAAGCCCCAGACTCCAAAAGGAGACACTATCTTCCAAAACTGTTTGCTATACATCCCGGAACAAAGACAGTCAGGTGCAGGAACATGAGAGACCTGTGGAAGATGTTTTTAAAATCTCCACTTGTAGAAACAATCTCCCTTGTTTCTACACCCCTGCTTCTGGCAAATTTAGGCATGAGTATGCCACTCCATCTGCTGCTCTGGTCAATCTGACCAATAGAGGCTGGGGCCAAATCCATTCAATTTACCTCATATAGTATTTAATTAAAATTATTATCAACAGGACTTCAAGCAGCAGGATGAGGCCATCCTGCAGTATTAACCTCACCGTGACTTAAAGGGTTCCGGATTCCATAAGCTGAACAAGTTCAATGAATCATCCAGATCTATCTTATAGCCAGGTAGTATTCTCCTTTAGTTTCCACAGTGGCTTTTCTCCTCAGTCCAAGGCATTCATCCAGATGCAGCAGGATGTATTAGTGATTGCACAGACTTGTCCTGGCCTGCAAAAAGGAAGCTTGGGGCAGTTGTACTATCCATAACAACCCTGGCCTTTCTTTTTTTTTTTTTTTTGAGACTGAGTCTCGCTCTGTCGCCCAGGCTGGAGTGCAGGGGCGCGATCTCATCTCACCGCAAGCTCTACCTCCTGGGTTCATGCCATTCTCCTTCCTCAGCCTCCCGAGTAGCTGGGACTACAGGCGCCCGCCACCAAGCCTGGCTAATTTTTTGTATTTTTAGTAGAGATGTTGTTTCACCGTGTTATCCAGGATGGTCTCGATCTCCTGACCTCGTCATCTGCCTGCCTTGGCCTCCCAAAAAGTGGGATTACAGGCGTGAGCCACTGCGCACAGCCAACCCTGGCCTTTCAAAGCATAAGTTTTGCATATATTTTGTTAAATTTATTCTTAAATATATATATTTTCGATGTTCTTAAAACAAGAAATGTTTTCTTTCTTTTTTTTTTCCCGAGATGGTGTCTCACTCTGTCACCCAGGCTGGAGTGCAGTGGTGTAATCTCAGCTTACTGCAACCTCTGCCTCCTGGGTTCAAGCAATTCTCCTGCCTCAGCCTCCCCAGTAGCTGGGAGTACAGGTGTCTGCCACCATCCCCGGCTAGTTTTTGTGTTTTTAGTAGAGACGGGGTTTCACTATGTTGGCCAGGCTGGTCTCAAACTCCTGACTTCAGGTGATCGGCCTGCCTCCGCCTTCCAAAGTGCTGGGATTACAGGCGTGAGCCACCATGTCTAACAAGAGTTGTTTTCTCAGTTTCATTTATGGATTGTTCATTGCAATCATATTGAAATACAATTTATTTTTGTATGTTGATGTTGTATCCTGCAACCTTGCCAAATTGATTTATTAGTTTTAATAATTTCAATATGATTCTGTAGAATTTTCTATATATAAGTATGTCATCTGTGAATAGAGATAATTTCACTTCTTCATTTCCAATCTGAATGCTTTTTATTTATTTTTCCTGCATAATTGCCCTGGCTTGACTGCTAGTATAATGTTGAATAGAAGAGGTGAGACTTGACATCCTTGTCTTTTTCCTTATCTTTAGGGGAAAGCATCCAGTCTTTCACCATTAAGTATAATGTTAACTCCAAGTTTTTCATAGATGCCTTTTACCAAGTTCAAGAAGTTTTCTTCTCTTTACAGTTTGTGAAGTGTTTTTAATCATAAAAGGCCATTAGATTTTGTCTAATGCTTTTTGTGTATTTACTGAGACGATCATATAATTTTTTTCCATTGATAGGGTATGTTATATTAATTGATTTTCAGATGTTAAACAACCTTGCATCCTTAGGACAAATTCCACTTAATTGATTATGGTGTATGATTCTTTTTATATGTTGCTGTATTCGGTTTGCCAGTGTTTTGCTGGAGATTTTGTGTCCATATTCAAAGGAGATATTGGCCTTTAGTTTTCTCGTTTTCTGATAGCTTTTTCAGTTTTGGAATTGGTAATGCTGGTCTCAGAGTGAGTTTGGAAGTGCTTTCTTTTTTTAAAAATTTTATTATTATTATACTTTAAGTTTTAGGGTACATGTGCACAATGTGCAGGTTTGTTACATATGTATACATGTGCCATGTTGGTGTGCTGCACCTATTAACTCGTCATTTAGCATTAGGTATATCTCCTAATGCTATCCCTCCCGCCGCCCCCCACCCCACAATAGTACCTGGTGTGTGATGTTCCCCTTCCTGTGTCCATGTGTTCTCATTGTTAAATTCCCACCTACGAGTGAGAACATGCAGTGTTTGGTTTTTTGTCCTTGCGATAGTTTGCTGAGAATGATGGTTTCCAGTTTCATCCATGTCCCTACAAAGGACATGAACTCATCATTTTTTATGGCTGCATATATTCCATGGTGTATATGTGCCACATTTTCTTAATCCAGTCTATCATTATTGGACATTTAGGTTGGTTCCAAGTCTTTGCTATTGTGAATAGTGCTGCAATAAACATACATGTGCATGTGTCTTTATAGCAGCATGATTTATAGTCCTTTGGGTATATACCCAGTAATGGGATGGCTGGGTCAAATGGTATTTCTAGTTCTAGATCCCTGAGGAATCGTTGCATTGTCTTCCACAATGGATGAACTAGTTTACACTCCCACCAACAGTGTAAAAGTGTTCCTATTTCTCCACATCCTCTCCAGCACCTGTTGTTTCCTGCTCTCTTCAAAGCTGTCAGAGAGGGACATTTAAGTCTGCAGAGGTTACTGCTGTCTTTTTGTTTGTCTGTGCCCTGTCCCCAGAGGTGGAGCCTACAGAGGCAGGCAGGCCTCCATGAGCTGTGGTGGGCTCCACCCAGTTCGAGCTTCCCGGCTGCTTTGTTTACCTAAGCAAGCCTGGGCAATGGTGGGCGCCCCTCCCCCCTCGCTGCCGCCTTGCTGTTTGATCTCGGACTGCTGTGCTAGCAATGAGCGAGACTCCGTGGGCGTAGGACCCTCCGAGACAGGTGAGGGATATAATCTCCTGGTGTGCTGTTTTTTAAGCCCGTTGGAAAAGCGCAGTATTAGGGTGGGAGTGACTCGATTTTCCAGTGCCGTCTGTCACCCCTTTCTTTGACTAGGAAAGGGAATTCCCTGACCCCTTGCACTTCCCGGGTGAGGCGATGCCTCGCCCTGCTTCGGCTCTTGCACAGTGCGCTGCACCCACCGTCCTGCGCCTACTGTCTGGCACTCCTCAGTGAGATGAACCCGGTACCTCAGTTGGAAATGCAGAAATCACCCATCTTCTGTGTCGCTCACGCTGGGAGCTATAGACAGGAGCTGTTCCTATTTGGCCATCTTGGCTCTGGAAGGCTTTCTTTTATATTTTGGAAGAGTTTGTGAAGAACTGGCATTAATTCTTTGTTAAATGTTTGGTACAATTCAGTGATGAATCCATCTGGACCTGGGCTTTTCTTCATGGATAGTTTTAAAAATTACTACAGTCATGCACAGCATAATAATATTTTTGTTAATGACGGGCCACATGATAGTGGTCTCATAAAATTATAATGCCATATTTTATAGTACTTCGAATATGTTTAGATGTGTTTACATGTACAAATACTTACCATTATGTTACAGTTGCCTACAATATTCAGTACAGTAACATGCTGGACAGGTTTGCAGCCTAGGAACAATCTAAACCTAGGAGCAATCACACTGAGGCCATACAGGTGTATAGTTAGCTATACCATCTAGGTTTGTATAAGTACACTCTATTATGTTTGCACAACAACAACAAAACTGCCTAAACACATTTGTCAGAACATATCCCCATAGTTAAGTGATGCATAACTGTAATTCAATCTCTATACTTGTTATAGATCTATTCAGATTGTGTATTTCCTCTTGTGTCAATTTTGGTGGTTTGTGCCTTTATAGGAATTTGTCCATTTAATCAAAGTTATCTAATTTAGTGTATCATTGTTCATAGTATTATTTTATAATAAGGTCAGTAGTGATGTCTTTTTCATTTCTGATCCTAGTAATCTGCGATTTCTCTCTTTTTTCTTGATCAATTTAGATGAATATTTATCAATTTTGTTTTTTTAAAAGCTACCAACTTTTGATTTCATTGATTTTCTCTATTATTTTTCTATTCTATATTTTATTAGTTTCTGCTCTAATCTTCATTTTTTGTTTTATTTTTGCTTCTGCTTGCTTTAACTTTAGTTCTTTTTTTCTTCATTTTCAAATGTCTATCTTAAGATGTAAGTTTGGGTTATTGACTTGAAATCTTTCTTCCTTTCATTTGCAGTTGTCAGTTTTCCTCCAAGCACTGTTTTGCTGTATCTCATATATTTTGGTATGTTCTATCTTCATTTTCATTCACTCAAAATTTTTCTTATTTTCCTTTTAATTTCTTTTTTGATCCATTGGTCATTTAGGAGTGTATTGTTTAATTTTCCCATATTTGTGAGTTTCCTGTTTTTTTCTGTTATTAATGTCTTATATAATTCCATTGTGGTCAGAGAACATGCTTTGTATTATTTCTGTTTTTAAAAATTTATTGAGATTTGATTTATTGCCTAACAGACTTTTCTAGAAAATGTTATATGTGGGCTTAAGAACAACGTATATTCTGCTTTTGTTGGGTGAAATATCTTATAAATGTCTTCTAGGTCTAGTTTATAATGTTTATAGTTCACTAGGCTTACAGTGTTGTTCAGGTCTTCTGTTTCCTTGTTGACCTACTTAGTTGTTCTATCAATTGTTGAATGTGGGATGTTATAGTTTCCAATTCTTATTGTTGCATTGTCTATTCCTCTCTTCATTTCAGTCAGCTTTGGTTTTAAATATTTTGGTGCTCTGTTATTACATGCATATATGTTTATGATGGTTATATCTCCCAGATGGATTGACCACTTTATCATGATAAATTGTCCATTTTTATATCTAGCAACATTGTACGTTTTAAGTACGTTTTGTCTGAAATTATTATAGCCATTTACTCCAGCTTTTTTGTAGTAGCTGTTTGCATGGTATGTCCTTTTTAAAAAAGTCTTTTTATTTTCCATCTATGTATTTCAATTAAAAGTATGTCTCCCTTAGACAGCATATAGTTGAATCATATTTTTTTTTAACCCAGTCTGACAATCTCTGTCTTTTGATTGGACTGTTTAATTCATTCACATTTACTGTTATTTTCAATTACAGTTGGGTTTACATCTGCCATTTTAATTTTAATTTTTATATTTTATGTCTTTTTGTTCCACTATTTTTCCTTTACTGCTTTCTTTTGCATTAAGCTAATATTTTCTAATGTAGCATTTTAATTTCTTTAAGAATTTTTTTTACTAATTATTTTTGAAAATTTTTAATGGTTATTCTTGCTTACAATATAGATCTTATCACAATCAGCTTCAGATTTATACTAAATTAATTCAAGTGAGACATAGAAGTATTCCTTTTTATTCTTCTTATGGTATTTTGTTATATATATTACATCTATTTTTCTTTTCCCTCTTTTTGTGGTATTGTTATAATTATTAAATCCATACAAGTTACAAATTCAAAAGGATTGCTATAATTATTACTTTGTATAATTTTGTCTTTCAAAGGAGCTAAGAGAAGAAAAGAAGGCAAGTTTATATTTACAGCTTTTATTATATTAGCTTTGTATTTATTGTTTCTGGTCCTCTTCATTTGTTATTCTGAATTTGAGTTATCGTCTGGAGCCATTTTCTTAGCCCAATACAGCTTTGTTCCTATCTATTTCCTTTGTGCTGTTTTTGGCAACTATATTGCATTTCTATATGTTATAGGCTCAATAACACATTATATACATAGTGTTCTGTATACTTGTTTTTAAAATAAGAGAAGAAAGTAGAATAAATATGCATTTATATGGGTATTTTGATTACACGATTGTCTTTACCAGTGCTCTTTTTTTTTTTGTATGGATTCTAATTACTATCTGTGGTCATATCAGCCTGATGAACTTCTTTTAGTATTTCTTATATAGCAGATCTGTTAGCAACAACTGTTTTTTTAGTTTTTATTTATCTGGGAATGTTTTCAGTTTTCTTTCAGTTTTGAAGAGTAACTTGCTGCATAGTTTTTTCCTTGAACACTTTGAATATATTATCCTATGGTTTCCATTGCTTCCGCTGATGAGTCAGTTGTTAATCTTATTGGGGCTTATATGTAAGTGACAAATTGTTTTTCTTTAAATGCTTTTAAGAGTTTCTCCTTGTCTTTGATTTTCAGTATTTTTGCTATGATGAGACTGCTTCTGAATCTCTTTGTGTTTATTCAACTTGGAGGTTGTTGAGTTTCCTAGATGTGTAGATTATTGCTTTTCAATACATTTTGTAAGTTGTCAGTCATTATTTATTCCCCTATTTTTTCTACTAATTTCTTTTTCTCTCTCTCCTTCTGGTACTCCCAGTATGGACATGTAGATGTGCTTAGTAGTGTCTTACAGCTCTCTAAGTCTATCTTTATTTTTCTAATTTTTTTTTTTTTTTGAGATGGAGTCTCACTCTGTCGCCCAGGCTGGAGTGCAGTGGCGTGATTTCAGCTGTCGCCCAGGCTGGAGTGCAGTGGTGTGATCTCAGCTCACTGCAACCTCCACATCCCTGGTTCAAGCAATTCCCCTACCTCAGCTTCCCGAGTAGCTGTGATTACAGGTGCACACCACCACGTCTGGCTAAATTTTTTGTAAAGATTTTTAGTAGAGATGGGGTTTCACCATGTTGGCCAGACTGGTCTTGAACACCTGATCTCAGGCAATCTGCCCACCTTGGCCTCCCAAAATGCTGGGATTACAGGTGTGAGCCACTGAGCCCAGCCTCTTTTTTTTTTTTTTTTTTTAAATTATTTGGATTTCATACCATCTACTGATAGATCTTCATGTTTGTTAATTCTTTCTTTTGCTTCTCAGATCTACTCTTAAACCCCTTTGGTGATTTTAAATCTTAGTTACTGTATTTTCAACTTCAGAATTTCCATTTGGCTTTTAAAATATATACATAGTTTCTACCTCTTTACTGGTATTCTCTATTTCATATGACATCGTCCATAAATGTCCATTGTAATCATTCTTTCATGTCTTTAATTATGATTTCCTTTAGGTATTTGAGTATACTTATAATGGCTACCTTGAATGCTTTTTCTGTTAGATCCAATATCTAGTTTCTTTCACAAGCAACTTCTGTTGTCTGCTTTTTCCTGGCCTACTACCTTCCTGTTTCTTTGTATATCTTGTAATTTTTTTGTTAGACACCAAGCACTTTTGATAATATAGCAGCTGTGGATGCTGGTGCTCTATCCTTCCCTCTCTCCCCTGGGCTTGTTATTTTTGTTTTCTTGTTTATTTTTTAAGTGATTGGCTGGACTATTTTTTATGGAGTCTATTTCTTCCTGCAATATAACCCCTCTGACATTTATCCTCAGTGAACACAGCCTTGGGTATGCCCACAGTTACCCTGCACTGACAGTGGTTTTGGCCTATTTTTGAGAGCCTCTTCCTTTGACGATACTCACCTGTTAAGTTCAACTAATTGCTGGATGATTGCTCTATTATTTTCAAGACTATCTTGACTATTAGCTTGTTGAGTGGCTTTGGTAATAAAGGCATATTAGAATGCAAATGCTCCAGAGAACCAAAAACACTGTGACTCCTTTTAGTTTTAAGAGCCACAATATTATGGCTAGATTCTGCTGATCAGACTGGAAAAGTAACACCATAATCCCCCCAAAATGTCAGTAGCAGTGAGGTACCACTGATAGCTCTGAGAAGGGATTAAAAGTCTGATGTGCTCTATTTTCCAGGAGTGGATGGGAGCCATACCCTGTGTTATGTTGCCTCACTCACTGTAAAATAAATGGGTTGACTTGGCAAGAGTCAGAAGTCTGGCTTGTCATGATAACTCAGCATCAAAAAACATATAGTCCTTTACTTCTTACTTAGTCTATGCTGGGGCATGTGTTGCCGTATTCGGTATAAGGACAGAGCCAGACGGCACCAGTGGCAGTCCAGGTGGTACAGACTCAATCAGCAATTTGACTCCAGCTAGTTCCATCACAGAATAGGCCTTTACCCTGGACTCCTGTGTGAGTAACCCAGAAGATTTCATTAGCAGCAGTAATTTTTTTTTTTTCATTTCATGAAGCAAAATAAGGGTATCTTTAATCTGCCAGCCTACAGTTTTCAAGTGGCAGACCAAACAATTAGACCATTGGTCCTAGTCCAAAAGCCGGTCAAAATTTAACATAGTTTATTGAGGGGAATAGTGGGCAGAACAGTGAGAATGGACTTGAGTTCTACTCACTGATTTGAGCAGACATCTGCATTTTTGGTTGCGCATAGCTGTCACTAAGGCTAGACAGCTGCAGCGACTCAACAGACACTGTTGGTTTCAATTCAGCTCAACTATGTGTGAACGAGGTCCAGGCCCAGGTTCAGGAGTTCCATTGAACAACAGTTTTGTTTCAGGCAATGGACTGAAGAGTATAATTTTCCCTAAAGAGATAGCTGGTGTTTTGCAGGTAGGACCACAATGCTGTTAGTGTCTGCCCATGATTGTTGAAAATTTCCCACCTTGTATACACACTATAAATGGATGTCTCTGTAACTGTTGTCTGAAAGAAGACAGCACCTTCTGCCTCCTCTAGGATAAATCTACCATTAATTGTTACCATGGGATAGACCTGAGGCTGGCTGCTGGATTGGTGAGAAAGTTCCCCTTCTTGGAGGAGAGTTAGAAACAACCAGGGTACTGCCCAGCTAGCAGTCTGAGTCTGCTTCTTGGGACTTGGCCTGAACCCATTAAGTTGGGGAATTAAGGAAAATTCCTCCTCATTAACAGGCAATAAAATGGAGAACCACTTATTGCCCATTTAACCATATAATGTGGTCAACATGTTTACCGATAATTCCCATGGATTTCCCTCAAAGTCCATTAATTAGTCCACAAGACCCTTATCTTTCTCCTTCCTGAAAGCCACGTGTCTGTCAGCATACCATCCTTGCTGCCAAAACTGCTAAGAACTATCAAGGATCTGAGATTTCACCCTACTTGCAAAAAAATTACCAAGTTTGCCTCTGTATTAATTATGTATTGTTTAGTAACTATGTTATGAAACATTTAGCAGCTTAAATAATACCCATCGATTATTTCATAGTTTCTGTAAGTCAGGAATTCGAGCATGGCTTAGCTGGGTCCTCAATAAGGCTGCAATCAAGATGTTAGCCAGGACTGGGTTCTTATCTATGGCTTGACTAGACAAGGATCTGCTTCCAAGTGCACGTACTTGCTGGAAGAATTTAGTTTTTTTTGCAGGCTGTGTACTGGGGCTTCAGTTTGTTGATGGCTCTTGGCTAAAAACTGCTTTAAGGTCTTTGCCACATTGGCCTTCCCAACATAGCCACTTGCTTCCTTAGGGCCAGTAAGGGGAAAAAGAATCTCCTCGCAAGGCAGATGTTACAGTGATCTATAATGCAATCATGTAGATGTAGTCACATACATCCTACAACCTTTGCTATATGCTGTCTGATAGAAACAAGTCACAGTTCCTTTTCAGACTCAACAGGAGGCTAGTCACCCAGGGCGTGAATATCAGGAGGTGGGAATCATGGGGCCTCTTTAGAGTCTCTCTATCACAGTTTCAGGAGTGCTGGCAGAAGACATGAGACTCCTGGATCAGAGACAAAAGACTTTATTATTTACAGAAGCAAAACCCAGAGTATCTGCATTTGTGCTGATTTCCTGAGTGCCATTTCTCAAAGTGTGATGTGAAGAGGGCTAGATGGTATCTGCACATGGAGTAGGGTGTGCTTTGGGGAAGGAACTCTGAGCTTAGACAGACTAGATGTTTTATTAGAATCAGTAAGCATGCCTGACCTATGCCCTGAAGGAAGGTATAATCTTTGTTGCTGTGAACCATAAGCAGACCTGCCTTTGCTCTGAAGGGAGACATTACCTCTGTTTTCCAAGATTGTTTGCTCTGTAAACATCCTTGAAAAGATAGTCTGAAACCAATGCAGCCAGAACCTCTGCTTGGAAGATATGCAGAAGCATAAAACTAATGGAGAATTATCTCCTGGTGGGCATATGTTGACTCTGAGGAGCATACCTATGTATAATAGGAAAATATAGATATGTACATAAATAACTGTAATGAATGAGTGAATCTGAAAAGAGAAATTCAGTGTGCTATGAAAGCTCAAAGGAAGGCAAAGTTATTTCTAACTCCAGCGAACAGGCAATCCTTCACAATATTAATTTTGAAGCATCATGAGGATTTCAACTGGTGAGGAAAGGTGGAAAGGAAGGTGGAAATGAAAGAAGCAGTAAGGGTAGAAGAAGGAGGGAAGGTACCACATAGGTTCCCCATGTGGGGCAGTTAGTTTGACTCAACACTGGGTTAAGAAAAGGGCAGCACGGTATGGAGAAAAGTCGGAAAATGTAGAATTAAGTTGGCTGATTGTGGACCTTAAATACTTGTTTAGGTGCCATTAAAGTGTCTTGAGGAGTCCAGTTGGTGTCACGAAGGTGTTTTGAGTGAATGAGTGTAAGGGAGCCATTAATTCAGTATTACACTTTAGGGGTTATAATCTAGAGATGATGGGATGACTTGGAGTCGGCAAAAGACTTGAGGCAGAACTCCTGGTGAAAAAAAACTATTTTAAATGGTACAAGCCAGAAGGTGATGCAAGTCTAATGTATTCCTGTGGTAGTGAGAAGAAAGCGGTGCAGTTGGACGTAGACCTCTTTCATTGGTACAGCTGTTTGACTTGGTAGCTCATTGCTCCTATAATGCAAGAAAAAGGGAAGAATCAAGGGAATCCTAGGTAACTGAGAGGCTGGTGGCCCCAAGAGGAGAAATAGAGAAACTATGATAAGGTACAGATACCAGGGAGAATTTGATAAATTTGGTTTGGAATCAAAAAGAAGCCCTTTGTAAATGAACCTATTTAAATAGTTGGGTGATATCTTAATGCACTTAGATTTAATTTATTTGGTACAATACAAATTAGATGTCAAGAAAAGTCTAAAGCATTGTGACTCAAATTCAGGACCACCTTACTAAGTTTGGGTGGTAACAATTAGGAAGATGGAGATTTTCTTCTTTCATTTGACTGACATCATGCTTAGGGAAAAGAACAATCCATTTAAATAAGGATTTCTTAAAAACTGTATCGTTTCCATACGTTTAAGATCAGAAAATGTGATTATATACTACAGTTCATTTAGGTGGGAGGAGGCCATTTTTAAAGGCTAAAATTTATTATCTAAGAAGTAGGTCTTAATTTTTAAACTCATTGACTTCATAGGTGAAACACACACATACAGACTTTTCTCATTTAAGGAGAGTTATTTTGTATGTTTTTACGTAATTTGATCTTACCCTTCGATGCTGAGTACCTGGTATAGACACACACCATTGTTCCTTCAAGTGTAACCCCTTTCTAAACAGTGTGTATTCACCAGGAAGTGCTAGAATAGTTTTTGCTCCCACTGTCATTTTTAAAATTTTGTTTCTGAGCCAGCTTTCACGGTATTTGTTTCGCACTCAAAAACCAAAGTTATAATTAAGGCAGCTGTCATATGATAGCAGTAGGCACCTGGACACTTCAACTTACCTACCAGGGAAGAGAGACGGAGCAGGAAAGGAGAGAAAGACAGAAAACAGAGCCCTGAAAGTGCCTTCCTTCTTGTTCTATATTTTAAGAGGTCAATAAGATAACTTTATTAAATAAAAGAAGGAGGCCAGGTGCGGTGGCTCGCGCCTGTAATCCCAGCACTTTGGGAGGCCGAGGTGGGCAGATCATGAGGTCAGGAGATCAAGACCATCCTGGCTAACATGGTGAAACCCCATCTCTACTAAAAATACAAAAAATTAGCGTGGAGTGGTGGCACAGGCCTGTAGTCCCAGCTACTCAGGAGGCTGATGCAGGAGAATCGCTTGAACCCGGGAAGTGGAAGTTGCAGTGAGCCGAGATTACGCCACTGCACTCCAGCCTGGGTGACAGAGCAAGACTCCATCTCAAAAAATAAAATAAAATAAAATTAAATTAAAAAAAGGAAATACTTACTGTGACTTTTATATACTCAGTTTTAGAATCTTCAAAGCAACTCCATTTATTTATTTATTTATTTATTTATTTGAGTAGATACAGGGTCCCACTATGTTGCCCAGGCTGGTCTCGAACTCCTGGCCTCAAGCGATCCTCTCACCTCAGCCACCCAAAGTGCTGGGATGGCAGGCGTGAGCCACCATGCCTAGCCCATTTATTCTCATTTTATAGATTGGAAAATTGAGGCTCAGGAACGTTTAATCACCTTCCTTCAGCTATAAAGTTGTTTTTTAGTGAAGTTTGTCAGTTCTTTCTTTCTCTTTCCACTATACAATGAGTTTCTCTCCAAGAGCTAAATGACCAATATCACCAAATGTGATTTGAAGTGACACATGTACAGGGAAATTTCAAAAAAATAAACACGACTTGGTGTCTTTCTCAGGAAACCTTAACTTAAGCCAATCCTGGTTTGATATTTGAACTTAATGAGAAACTTGCTTTCTTACTTACCTAAATTCTTTTTTTTTTTTTTGACATGGCATCTCACTCTGTCGCCAGGCCAGGCTGGAGTGCAGTGGCACAATCTCAGCTCACTGCAACCTCCACCTCTCAGGTTCAAGCAAGTCTCCTGCCTCAGCCTTCCAAGTAGCTGGGACTACAGGTGCACGCCACCACACCTGGCTAAGTTTTGTATTTTTAGTAGAAACGGGGTTTTGCCATGTTGGCCAGGTTGGTCTTGATCTCTTGACCTTGTAATCCACCCACCTCAGCCTCCCAAAGTGCTGGGATTACAGGTGTGAGCCACCGTGCCCGGCCTTTACTTACCTCAATTCTTTACCTTAAATTTAAACACTTCTACCTACATCATGTTGGGGCATTATCCATCCAAATACCCTCTGGCTTTCTCTGATCGCTGGAAACTCCTGTGCATTTTTCTTGTCCCAGTAGCAGTTTCTAAGCACTTTGACTATTTATTTTCTCAGTACTTCCCACTTTCCACAGTATGACAAGTCTTTCTGGTGTCTAGCTTACCTACAAAATACATTCCTACAGCAGAATCAAGAAATAAAAATTACGGGCACTAATGGGGTACTGCTACTCTCCAGTATTGATACCCATGCAATTACTTTTCTCAAATCAGAATGTGATAATACTTTGCTTTTCTTCCTTTAAATGCTATTTAAGAAATTAAATATATGACATTTTTTGCAGCTGTTTTCTGCGTCTAGGTATTATTTGCATTGGAAATGTCATACAATAACTTTTTCAGAAGCAAAGTTTTCTTCAGAAACAAACACCTTTATGTTAAGACCTCTGCAGATCAGTCTTAGTTTAAAGCTTATGTTATTATAAAAAAAATACAGTTTAGGCCGGGTGTGGTGGCTCACGCCTGTAATCCCAGCACTTTGGGAAGCTAAGGCGGGCAGATCACGAGGTCAGCAGATTGAGACCATCCTGGCCAACATGGTGAAACCCCGTCTCTACTAAATATACAAAAATTAGCTGGGCATGGTGCGTGCACCTGTAGTCCCAGCTACTGGGGAGGCTGGGGCAGGAGAATCGCTTGAACCCAGGAGCTGGACATTGCAGTGAGCTGAGATCACGCCACCGCACTCCAGCCTGGTGACAGAGAGAGACTCCGCCTCAAACAAAACAAAACAAAACAAAACAATTTAGAGTAGCATTTTAAAATGAAAGTATTTTAAACAAAGATTTAAGATGATTTTTGCCCTCTGCCTTCCAGTCTGTGAATTCACATTCCTAAGAAATCCTTAGTCCTCGATCTTGGTATGTCCCTCTCAGTCACATATTGTAAGAAGGTGGATAAGGGCAAGCATGGTCATTTATATTGCTGAAGTTCAGGGTTGAATACATACAGATCAAATCCACCCTAAAATAAGTAGAAAACAGCAAGGCAGCCATTTGTGAAGCTAATTAAGTGGCACATTTTTTTTTAGCTTATGCTTGTTAAAAAACTATGTGCTATTTTATGAAACCAAGGCTGAAAGTGATACATACCATTGAGGGTAACACTTTTTGGACTTATTGCTATTGTTATTATATTTGAGCAATGAAGAGCATTTGGGTATAATTTAGGGCTATTTACCTTCACCCTTCTTAATATCTGTAGTCTACCCAGCTATCTCCACAACTCTTTAGCTGTCTCTGGCTTAACCATCACCATGTAGTGCACCAAAAGACTTGTGCAAGACTATTTACAGTAGCATTATTCCTCACAGCTTCAAACTGGAAACAACTGAAAAGTCCACTCACCGTTGACTGGATAAATTGTGGTAGATTCACATCATGGAATGAAAAGAACAAAACCCATTATATAAAGTGACACGGATAAATCACAGTCAATGTGATAAGTAAAAGAAGCTGGTGACAAGAGTGTAGGAACTGCAAGATTCCATTTCTATGAAGCTTAAAAGTAGCCCAAACTAATGTAAGATAATAGCATAAGTAATCCGTGCTTTAAAAATTTTAAAAACATTTTTAATGTTTTGATTGACACATAATAACTGTACATGTTTATAGGGTACATAGTGATGCTGTAGTACATATAATGTCTGATGATCAAATCAGGGTGATTAGTATGGTGGTTGGACAATTTTTTCACTTACTTTTCTAGGAAAGTACCTCTGTGTACATAGGATAACACACTATTATCAAACTCTATCTAACTTTGCTAATCTCATAGGTTAAACAAATTAAGTTCTTTTAGTTAAGTTCTAATTTTTATTTCTTATTATGAATGAAGTTGAACATCTTTCCATGTGACTAAAAGACCTTTTTAGTTCCTTTTTCTGTGAAACTCCCATATGTATATGTGTGTTTTTGTGCATACACACTCATATACATATATGTAAATATGTACAATATATGTATGTTTGTGAATATGTATCTTTTTGCTTAGTTTTTCTGTTTCTTTTATGGATATGTCAGAACTGTTTATTTATTATAGCCATCGGCCTGTGTTTGTGATATTAATTGCATTCCCTACTCCTCCCTCACCCCCAGTTTTGTAATTTGTCTTTTGATTTTGTTACAGGGCTTATTTCCAGTCAGGAAAGTTTTATTTTTATACATTTCAATGAATGTTCTATTGCTTTTGAATTTTAGGTCATATTTAGAGGGACCTTCCCTAGTCCATTATTATAAAACCTTGCTCTTAGGTTGATGGTTTTATATTGTACGGTTTAAACCTCTGTCCATTTGGAATTTATTTTGATATAAGTTGGGAGATAGCTATTTTCCCAACTCCGTTCTTTCCACAGGGTTTCCGGTTGTTCACAAACTATTTTCTGAATTATTTATTGTCTGCTTATAAGTTTGGAATGCCAACTTTTGTGTATATTGGATCCACTTCTGAGCTTTTTATCCTGTTTGCAATATTTATCCACTTGAATTATTATAGCCTATTGAAATTTAAGTTAGACTTGATCACCCCTTTATTATTCTTCATTCACAGAATTTGCCTCAAAAATTCCCATTTTTCTTTTTATTTAAATTTAAAACATATTTTCTTCAAATTTTTTCCACAAATACAATTTTCTGGAATTTTTATGAAGATTGTGTTTAATTTATTATGTCAGGAAGAACAAATATATTTTTGGTGTTGGCTGCTGCTATCCTAAAACAAGCTTCTTTATTTAAATGTTCTTCCATGTCCCTCAATAGCATTTAAAAGTTTTCTTCTTATGCTAATTTTTTATTGGTGAAAAAAGTCTATTGTTCCTATGTATTTTATTCTTTTATTGCTATAATAAATGTTTCTTCCCCCTTCAGTTCATATTCTTATTGGTTGTTTGTTTTTATATAGGAAGGAGAATGATTTTGTACTGGAGGCACCTTCCTAAATTTTTTTGTCATTGTGGTTTTTCAATTGTTTCTCCTATGTGTTTAGAGGTAAATATTGTCTTTAAATAATAAACGCAGTGGCTAGTACTTTCAGAACAATGTGGACTAACAGTGATGATGAGGACATGTGTGTCTTGTTCCTGTCTTTAGTAAGACTGCATCTAATGTTTCTGCATTAAGCATGATTGGACAATATCTCTTAGGTGATATGTAATGCTTCATTTCCATCATTTTCTAAATATTCCATAATTTCGGGTTTGATCTTATTCTTTTCTGAGTTGTTTACTAGAGAGTTTTAATATTTCAGATGATGGTTTGTTTTCTAGTGAGTTTTATTTCTAAATTCTCTTATATAGTATGCCAAGCTATCTGTTATTGTTTCTTTTTAATTATTTCATCTCATGCTCTGCTTTCTTTGCTTCTTATAATAATTTTAAAAGTTTTAATTTTTATCCTAGTGATTATTTAATAACTATAACATTATATAATACACTTAATCTTCTGTTCTTCAAGAGAGTATCTATCAACTCTCTAATACAAGCAATTGAAAATTAATTTGTTTGTCTTACATACTTCCTCCTATCATCCAATTTTAATTGTTTATATTATTTAAAAAATTATATTTATATCTCTAAGTGCAGTTATTGCTTTGTTATTTGATATGTCAGGTTTAAATTGCCTCATTTGACCCCAGGCTATTAAAACAATTTTTTAAGAAGAAATAAGCAAAACTATATTCCTTTTTACTTTTTTTCCTCCCATCTCAACTTAAAAAAAATCATACTGGCTGGGCACAGTGGCTCACCAGCATTTTGGGAGGTGAAGCGGCTCACTTGGCATTTTTGGAGGCCACGGTGGGGGATTGGTTGACCTCAGAGGTTTGAGACCAACCTGGGCAACAAAGTGAGACCACGTTTCTTAAAAAAAAAAAAAAGAAAAAGAAAAAATTATTTAAAAATATAATTTCTACATTGTCAGAGTTGAAAGTTATAAAAGTCTATTCTTTAATTTACAAGTCTCATATTCGTTCAAGTTTTGGTCACACAGCTCCATCGTTTAAAACCCTCCGTGCCAGTCCTTTAGCCATAGTGACTCCATTTCTTTCTTGGTTGTCTGAAGTTACTTTTCTGATAGTTTCTTAATAAAGCTACTGAGATTTAAAATCTTGTTGTATCTGAAAAAGTGATTGGTAAATAACAGTCTGTCTGGGTTTAAACCTCAGTCACGTGTTCTTTCCTAGAGGGTCTCGCAGGCACTGCTCCTCTGTCTTCTGGCGTTGATTTTTCTGAACTTTGAGACTAGCATTTTTTTCTTCCTCTAAATACTTGATCTTTTGTCTGGATCCCCAGATTATTCTTTTTTTGCCTCTGAAGTTTAGTAACTTTCTGGGATGTCTCAAAGAGAATATTTTGATTTTTCTTTTTCTTTTTTTTTTTTTTCGAGACAGTCTTGCTCTGTTGTCCAGGCTGGAGTGCAGTGGCACAATCTCGGCTCACTGTAAGCTCTGCCTCCTGGGTTTATACCATTCTCCTGCCTCAGCCTCCCAAGTAGCTGGGACTGCAGTCACCCGCCACCACGCCTGGATAATTTTTTTTGTATTTTTAGTAGAGATGGGGTTTCACCGTGTTGGCCAGGATGGTCTCGATTTCCTGACCTTGTGATCCACCTGCCTTGGCCTCCCAAAGTGCTGGGATTACAGGCATGAGCCACTGTGCCTGGCCCAATATTTTGATTTTTCTATAATAATTTTTCCTTTGATGTAGTGTGTCCTTTTTTCTATAAATTCAAATCTTTTATAATTTTGGCAACTTTTCTTGAATTATATCTTTATTTTTTCTGTTTTATTATTTTACTTCTACAGGGACAAACATTATACAGCTATTATGTTTTCTGCATCTGTCTTACTTGCCAATCATTTTCTCTTTAACATTTTAAGCCTGTTTAGTCCCATCTCATTTTGTTTGCTTTT
This sequence comes from Homo sapiens, assembly GCF_000001405.40. Lineage (NCBI taxonomy): Eukaryota > Metazoa > Chordata > Mammalia > Primates > Hominidae > Homo > Homo sapiens. The sequence goes on along the minus strand of NC_000006.12, from coordinate 10,119,411 downwards.
CCTCATTCCTGTCATCCATGTGCCCATTATACTTTCAGTATCATTGGTTCTCTTTTATATTACTTGTAGTGTAAACTTCATTTCTCCACCACCGTTTTTTGAAGGAAAATTTGTATTATTTTAATTATTTTTAAGTACAGAAAACTCAGCAGTGTACATTTAACCCAGTTTAGTGGCAAGTTCTCTAGCCTTTGCCTTTTCGAGCTTGGTGACATGAGCCACAGACTTGTGACCCAGGACATTGCCTCCCCAGTGACAGTGGATCTCATCGTATCTGTCATCATAATTGGTCCTGATAGCTTCCACCAGTTTAGCCAAAGCGCCTTTGTCTTCCGAGTTAACCTGTGTGAAGGTGACAGTGGTGCAGGTCTTCCTGTGGACTAGATGTCCCAGTCTTGCCTTCCCCTTAATAATGCAGTAAGGGACCCGCATTTTACAACACAGGGCAGGCAAGAAGCCCACCAGCTCAGTGGGATGCACGTTGTGTGCAATCACCACCAGCTGAGCTTTCTTATTCTCCACCAAGGTGGTGATGGTGTTAACTCCTGCTCGAAGGACAGGTGGTCTCTTAGTGGGGACATCCCCTTTGCCAGCAGCTTTCTTCTCAGCCCAGGCCAACAGCCTCTGCTTCTTCTCTTGCTTTGTCTCTGTTTTGCATGTGTAGGCCAGCTTAAGCAGCTAAGTAGCTGTTTGGTGGTCCAGGGCTTGGGTGAACTGGTTAATCACAGGAGGCACTTTCAGCTGCCTATAGAGGATGGCTCTCTGCCGCTGCAACCTGATATAGCAGGGTCATTTCACAAAGTGGGTGAGGTCTCTTTTGGGCTGGATGTCCTGTCCAATGCCAAAATTCTTAGGCCTTTCCTCAAACAGGGGATTCACCACTTGCTTGACCTCCTGCTTCTTCATGACAGCAGGGGCCGCAGCCACCTTCTTCCCCTTGGCCTTCTTTCCTTTAGGCATCTTGGGTGGCGGGAGGAGCTCCACTACCTTTTTTGTCTGACTTCTTCCCTTAGCTCTTCAAGCTCATGGTTTGACTAATTATGTTAGTCCCCTGTATATTCTCTGATCGTTGCATATTACTTGAGCTCTTGTTTGCAGGGGCAATGGATTTGTTACATTTTCAAAATTCGTACTTATATATTTGTTCTTGCTTTCAGTGGCTTTATGCCAATATTTTGGGGGGATATGCCATTTCACTTGCATTTTTTTCTTTCTTTTTTATGTCATATTTTTGGGATTTTTACACTAATTCATTTTACTAAAGACTTTCATTTTTCTCAGAACAAAGCACATTTTCTCTGGACCAGGTATTTTTAGGAGGCTAATCTTCCAAAAAAGGCAAAACTATGTTTTAGCCTTGCAGAAGTTCTTATGGCTTTGACAGGTCATTCCTTCAGATCTTTTGATTTACTTCTTCCAAGCCAGCTGAGATTATTAGTAAAAGAATGACCCTAATGCAGATATTCCTTCTTTTCCCATACTGTATGAGTTGCTTATTCCAGCATAGCACACCATCTCAGAATTTAGTGGCTTAAAAACAACAAACTTTTATTAGTTATTGTGATCATGTTGGTCACATTCATAAGTTGGTTAACTTTCAAGTTGGCTCATTCCTAAGTCTACAGCTGGTGGTGGTTGGCTGGTTTAGGCTGGCCTAGGCTGGGAGTGGTTTTGCTCTACATAGCTTTCATTTATCCCCTGAGACCAGCATATTGGCCCTAGTTTTATCCTTCTCATAGCAATGACAGAGGTGCAAGAGAGTAAGGAGAAATACACAGGACTCTTGAGAATTCGTCTTGGAACTGGCACATCATTAAAGCAAATGACTTAGCTGAGCCAAGATCCCAAAGGCGAGGAAAAGACCTGTACCTTTTTAGTGAGAGTAACTGAAAAGTTGCATGAAGAAGAGCATGGATACAAGGGTGCAGAATTGGGCCATTAACACAATTTGTCACATTTGCCAAACACAGAATGCATTCTGCAGATATAACTTGATAGATTCTCTGCTCATTCCCATATTCTGTGTTTTTCATGACTCTGTTCTAACTGGCTCAAGGAATTTCCCACTGCCAGTCCACGCACCTGTTCCTTTAGTTTTAAGTAAGATGAGATAAATGAACGACTTAAGATGGCCCCACTTATCCTCACCTCCTGATATTTGCATCCTTGTATAATCCCTTCTTGACCGTGGGCTGGACTTAGTGACTTGCCTCCAAGAAAAATAGATAAATGGATGCCACTTGAAGATTAGATTATTTAAAAACTGTCACTTCCATCTAGTTCCCACTTTTTTTCATTGTTGTTGTTGTTTTCTTCCTTAGTGTAATGAAGAAAGCCACCATATTTTCCGCTGCCCTGTGAAGGGGCCCATATGGCAAGGAACTGAGAGTGGCCTCAATATCCTGCAAGGAACTGAGGCCTTTAATCTAAAGTCCTCAATCACATGAGTGGGCTGGGAAGTGGATCCTATCCTAGTTGAGACTTCAGATGACTACTGCCCTGGCTGACACCTTGATTATAGCTTATGAGTGATCCTGAATAGGGGACTCAGCTAAGCCATGTCCAGATTCCTGACCTGCAGAAACTGTGAGACATTAAATTATGATGGTTAAACCACTAAGTTTAGAAATAATATAGTATATAGCCCTAGATAGTTAAAAGCACAGACCATTGCTTTACCTTTCAGAGTATGTCGCTTGGGTTGGAGAAGCGTGTGCTGTTGGCTTTGCTTGAGATCTGCAGTAAAGGGTGTCTTTTCTCAAGCTGACTGTCATTGCATTTGGCATGTCTTCCTTACATTGTGGGTTGGTGCTTGTTTTAAAAAAATAGCTTAGAGGTTTATTAAAGAAAGAGTTCAACGTCGCTTTTCTGTTTCTCATTTTACTTATGGAGTTTGGGTAAATGTTTCATACCGTTATAAAAATAAAATTCAAGCTCTGGCTTTGCCCTCTGCATTTTATTTGTATATGCCTCCAGAAAGTCCCTGCTTTAGACCCTTGGGATAATAATAATGTGAAAAACTTAATGAACCCTATCCCAATGACTTAGTATGAAAATGATGCCAGCTTTGTGTGGTCCTACTTTGACCAAGCATCCTCCTTTCACAGTCCTGGTCTTAGATGTTCAACCCAAGAGGCAACAAATGTAGCCAAGAGCATGGGTTCTGGCATTAGATTGTCTATGTTTTTTTTTTTTTTTTTTTTTTTTTTTTAACCGTAGCTCTGGCACTTACTACTGTGTGACCCCAGGAAACTATCCTCCCTAGATTTTATTTCCCTAGCCTCTAAATACTTCACAGTATTGAAAACTAATATTGACAGTATTATGAGGCTGATGAAATAATGTATACCAAGTTTTTAACATAGTACCTGCCAGATGGCAAGTCCTCAATAAATGTTAACTATAATGCAAAAAAAATCATACTTTTATTGAATACCTATTAATTGCCTGGTATTGTGCTAGGGTATGGGGACACTAACATAAATGTAACTTGGTTCATTTTCTCAAGGAAATTATAGTCTCGTAAGTGAAATAATTTTTGTACAACATCACTGCTTCCAAACATTGTCAGGTACTTTAGTGCTGTCATCCTGATAAATTCCCCTTTGAGGTTTTATTTCTGAGAATCTGCTTTGGTTTCCTGCCTGGTATCCCAGTAACTCTAAGATAAAGGGACTTTTTATATCCGTAGGTCCTTCTAGGGAACAGCCAAATGAAAATTGCCTATCTATCTGATCTCACTCCTGGAATCTATTTAAATTATTCTCATAATATGTCCGGATCTTTTACAAAATTCTGTTGATGAAGCTTTTGGATGTAAGGGAAACATTTAGATATATCAGTTGGTTAGAGTGCATGAAGAAACTGCTGTCACTCTTATCTTTTGGCCTCTGATTGACCAGAGCCAGCAGTCCAACTTTGGCAACCCACTCTATCTAGCTACAGTTCCAGCCCACAGTCTAGGTCCCAGGGCGTCACTTGATAACCTTACTTCTCTCTAGATCTCTCTGTACGTTTTGTGTGTGTGTGTGTGTGTGTGTGTGTGTGTTTGTGTGTGTTGTGGGGTGTGAGTCAATAGCACAGTTATAGAATACTAGTCAGAGAAGTGGAGCAGAATGGAAAGCCAGGTGAGAAGGTTGGTGAGACTAAGGCACAAATAAGACCTGATTATGGTGGAGGGGTAGATAGTGAAGGGATTATCCATTGCAACTTTTATCAAGAATCAAGAGGGTCCCAGCTACTCGGGAGGCTGAGGCAGGAGAATGGCGTGAACCCGGAAGGCGGAGCTTGCAGTGAGCGGAGATCGCGCCACAGCACTCCCGCCTGGGCGACAGAACGAGACTCCGTCTCAAAAAAAAAAAAAAAAAAAGAATCAAGAGGGCCAATTGGCATGAATGCTCAAAGTGAGTTGCTTTGGTATGAATAACAAAATCACCAGGCATACACCATCCCTATAGACCTATCCAATCTACCTGGTAGATATATTTTAGAAAATAAAACTGTTTAGACTACCACCCTGCCAAAAACCAAAAATAAAAACAATGCCTCTTTCTGTTTAGGTCACAAAGTAGAGCTATTCAGAACCAAACAAACAAGGAAGCAAAAGCAAAAATTCTCATTATATCTACTTCTGTTTGCAGACACAGATGGGAGTGTGTCAAGCAGGAAACTGAAGGGAGCTGGTGAGTTTCTGGAGCTCCTGGCCAAAGCTGGGAGATCGGGTGCCTGTGGCTTATTTTTGCTGGTGTTAATCTATGATGCCTACGGTGTTGTCAAATGTATTTCATTAGTGTTTTTCCCTTATTAAATATGAAAATCATGTCAAAGGTAAATGTCAAGAGGCTATAAAATTACCCTTCTTATCTTCTGTACATTTATCAGTTGATAAATGGAAAGACACTGCTGCCAAAATAACTGAATGAATAATTTATAAATGACTGATGCATCTTGTATGTTGTTTCAGGCACAAAACAGTAGGACATCAATAATCAAAGGAAGTTGGATTAATTTAGCAGTATTTTGCCATTTATATTTTTATCTAAATGCTGCAGTCTAGACCTCGGTGGCCAGAGACATTTCTTTTCTATCATTTTTTTTTCCTAATGACTTGGAGCAGGGGGTACAGGAGGAGGGGACCCCCTGTTTTGCCTGAGAGCTCCCTTTCTCCCATTCTTTGATATTAAAGTAGTTAGCTTTGATGAATGAGAGTTGATCTATATATTCTTTCTTCCTCTGTGGACTTTCCCATAATACTTGTACCAGGGATGTAAAAAAAGCTTCTCTTGCTTTAAAATCTCTTGATTCATATCAATCCTGAATTTTAACTTTCCCTATAGGTCATTCTCCCTGTTTAATTGACATGAAGACAGTGTTATCTTTAAAGTGCTAGTCTCTGTAGCCAAATTTTCTTACATGCATTTACAATTCTGTGACATTGCAATCTCAGTCACCCTAAAAGGCCCTTTAATGTGCAGGTCAAGATGCTCAATTCTATTGATTCTGCTCCCTCTGGTTTAGGTACCTGGCCTGTCACCAACCAGAAAGAAGGCCTTGGAGGTTTGCCTCACTGCTGCAATGAGCAGAGCTGAAACTGTTCTCAGGGGAGGAAGGAAGAAAAAAAAAAACAACTCACAAAACCCCAAAGTCAGAGGAAAATCGAGGGAGAAAATGTGTTTGCATTTGGAGGGCTCAACCTGGATCTTACTTCTGAAGCTGAAGGAGCCTCTTATTTCGGGCCATCTACTAGCAAGGGGATAGGGCCACACAGTTCACATCGTGATTTAGCCTGACCTGACTTTTCAAGGGTGGCCACTTGATTATGTTTTAAAAATTCCTCCCTGTGGCTTTGCCCACCAAACCTAGAGATCTACATTTTTGCCTGTCCATTGTGAGACCGGCCTTGCCTCGGGACCCCCAGGCCCCTGCCTGTTAGCGAGAGCCGCCTCCGAGGATCACAACATCCCTCCCAACATCATAATTGGGCCGGCTCTCCCGGCGCCCCCGCTGGGCCAGGCCTGCGCACCCGAGCCAGCCCACGCCTCCGCAAGGGCTCCCGGGCTCCCCAGTCGGCCGGTTATCAGCGGCTCACGGTTAGCGAACCGCTGTGACTAAACGGAGATTGGGGGGCACTGCAGGCGAGGGATGAAAAGTGGTGCCCTCCCAGGGCACGGAGCCTATCTGCAGAATTGGCCCAGACCCTGGAACTTCACAGACAGTGCAGCAGAAGGCTCTCTTGTTTGGGCATTTATTACCTGGAGCAAAATGTGCAGAGAGGGGAGATAATGAAGTACTTGACTAATTCAGTGTGATCCAGCTGGCTGAGCCAGAGGGGCTGGTTGCGGAGCCCGAGCCGGGATGCTGAAGAACTCACTGCTAGCCATTTTCCCTAGGCACCGGGGAAGCCAAAACAAAGGAGTGCAGAGATCAAAAAGAGAGGTATCAATAATAAAGAAGGAGAGGAGACCAGGAAAGGAGGAGAGGGGGAGGGTGTAGGGCGTTCACTCCATTTTTAAGAAAGTTTTTTTTTTTTCTCATTTGATTTCCAAATCAATCACTTTCCACTCTCTAGACCCTGACATTCTAAATCCAGTAAGCTTTTTTTGGTAACTTACACCCGTTTTCTTTCCTTTCTTTCTTTCTTTTTTTTTTAAACTTGCATATTTGTCCAAGCATTCTGGCAAAACAAAAAGAGACATTCGTTTTCACACACACAGCAACAAAGATAGTGCTTCTGGTCGGGCTGGAGGTGTGCTTTTGGCCAACAGCTCTGGGACTGGAAAACCAATGTGACAAGAGGGTAGTTTTCTCTTGGGCTGCATGGAAGCCAGCTGCCTTTTGGCGTTCCCAGCCTTCTGTACCTGCTAATGGCCCCACGCCTCTGCCTCTATTCACTATCTCATGCAATAAATAATGGATCTTGCATGTTCAAATGTGTTTAAACACTTTGAAGACCATCTGCTTCCAGATACAATAAATAAAACACCGGGATGACTGACGTGAACACTATATGTATTGTAATTGTCTTTTAAAATAGGCACGGCGTTCATCCTGGGTTCTGGAGCATGACTCCTACCTGTCCCACGAGACTTGCTATCCTTCATCCTCAGAAACAAGGGGCTTCCTAAACACTCAGAAGCAAATGTGTCAGATGAGCTCTGGTGGGAAGAGTAAGTCGTGGGAGCAGAGGGAAGTCATTCTACCAAATGGGAGCTTGATTGATAAGGCCTATCGCGTGTAGGTTGACTCAGGCAAGAAGGAACACAGTGAAAGTTCTGCTCATCTTTGCTTTTTATCTGTAACTCTGGGTCTGGTTTTAGGAAATGCAGCGAGGTATGAGATCAGCTCCGAATCTTCCTTGTTTTCTTACTTTGTGCTGTCTTCATTTTCCCTTTCTTTCTTTCTTTTTTTTTTTTTTTTTTTTTTTTTGAGACAGAGTTTCGTCCTGTCACCCAGGCTGGAGTGCAGTGGCACAATCTTGGCTCACTGCAACCTTGGCCTCCCAGGTTCAAGCGATTCTCCCGCCTCAGCCTCCTGAGTAGCTGGGACTACAGGCGCTCGCCACTAGGCCCGGCTAATTTTTGTATTTTTAGTAGAGATGGGGTTTCACCATGTTGGTCAGGCTGGTCTGAGCCACTGCGCCTGGCCTCCCCTTTCCTTAGGAACCCTCATATTGCCTTTCTTTTGTTCTCATCCAAAACTTTTCTTGTGTCCTTTAATCTTACTAAGGTGTAAATGACTACTGACATTTAAAGAGTTAAGCCTCCCTTACCCCTGGGCTATTCTTATTGAACAAATCATTAAACACAAGGGATGAAGCTATGGGTTTAGAAGCATTAAACTTTAGGGCAGGGATTTTTGTGTGCGTGTGTGGCCCAAGACCCATCATTTTCTCCAAACATCACACAGGGTAGGCAGTTGCCTGTATAATCCACATGGAAGGACCAATTCATAGGCCATCATCCTTGAAATTCTGTGTTATGCGGATATTTTATGGTACGGAGCACATGTGTTAGTTCTGTTTGGCTTCCCTGTTTGGTCATGAGGAAAAACCCCAGCAGGAAATACAATATTCACTTTGGTTTTTTAAAACTTTAGAGTACCACATAAGCTTCTATTTTCATCAGGGACTCAGGGCATTTTCTGTGCAAAAGAAAAGAGACCCACTCAATCTAGACCAAGGAGCTCTGTCAGGAAGGAGCAAGTGTAAGGGAATGGTTGTTGGAGAATCCAAGGCCCAGGGCTGTCTTGGTCAGAGGAAGGCACCACTGGCAAAACTCTGGCCTTAAGGGAAGAACTGGGACATATCCTCTCCTTCTTCCTTCCAAGATCCTGGTGGTGCCTCCCTTGGCCAAACTCACCCAGCAGCCAGAGGACAAGGGAGTCTGTGCAATGTGGTCCATAGAGATGAGCCTCACAGAAAATAGAAGGATAGGGCATGGATCTGGAGGGACAGACAAATGGAGAATTACAGGCACAATGTTCTAACTTGGTTTTACTTGGGAAAAGTGAGCTAGATGCAGGTAATCTATCTGATATATTCCTGGACTCATGGACTGAACGAATTAAGTTGCTCTTAATGGTGCAATTACGCTTCGCATATCAGAAAAGTTGATAGACAGGCATGGTATTTCATACGGAACAGATCTAAGTGACTTTGATGAACTATTTTTAAAATCATTAATTAAAGCAGTGGAACTTTTTACAGATGAAAATTGGTTTAGGAATGGACTTTTTCTTGTTTCTCAGTAAGTTTAACATTATTTAAAATTACCTGGATCCTTATGCACTGTTGCATTTGGTAGTGTATACTCAACAGATTCTCCTTAAACACATGTCCAGAGAGTATTTGCTATTGACACTGGGGAGAGATTTTCAGTCTTTTTTGAACTGTGATTGGAATAGAGGCTGTACCGTGTCCTGAGTGCGCGCCACAAGCCAGTCCTATCAGCGCAGCAATTGTTTTAGAATGTCTGCACATTTTGTGATGATCATAATGGCTGATGGGGTATCAGCTCTTTTGTGGGATGATGCTTGAGTCTCAGAATTATGACACAACTCATGATACTTAGTGGAAATCAGTGAAGCAGTATTTGAAAGAGCCTAATTCAATCTCAATCATATAGCATGAACTTAACAGTTGGAATACATTTTAAAAGTACATATATGTATTTATGACCCTCACAATAGTGACATTTCAACCCTAAACAAAATATGCCACCTATATCACCTGTGTTAATGTAGTTCCATCTAGAGAGAAACTGACTTACTGAGCATGTACTGGGTGTTAAGACGTTCTGGGAAGTGCAGTAGAGCAGTATCTCAAGGGATTTCCTTCTACTGACACACAAAGCAAACCTTTGGCTTACATATGCATCTCAGAGAGTAATTTTGTATACTCTTTGGAAAAGCAGTCTGTAGTGAAAAAAAACCACATTCTGTCCATTCTAATTGTGTTTCGTACATGGAGTTTTATTTTCTACCTATGTAAATGATTATATAAACCTTTGGTGGAGTCTGTTTTGAGGTTGTGCTTTGCAAGCCTTAATGAATGTCAAGTAGTAATTATAACTTTATTGTATTTGATAATAACAGCAATAGTAATGGTAATGGTAAAAAACAATAATCATCAGTATTTGTGGCTGTGCAATAACAGTGTTTGTAGTGCCAGGTAAGTGTGGTCCAGCACCAAGTGGATGAGGCAAGCACTGTCTATCTCATCCTCACCAGCACTGCACCCAGCTTGCAGCCACACCCTGCCAAGAGGACAGGCATACTCCTGATCATTAAGGGATGAAATACCTTGTTTTCTACTGTAGTCCTAAGATCTGATGTAATTAGGACCTTATACATTCACATCCATTTCTAAATAAATGGTGCAAGAATTCCAAAGCTTCAATACTAACAGAAAACAAGCATCTTTGCCAGTCCTCAAGTCCCTTTGTCACACTGCTCTCTGTTCCCTGGGAGTCAGTAGGATATCCAAGCTGTTTTAAACAAATCTTTTACTCATTGAATATTTGTGCCAAAAACAGATTGTAAGTCATTGAGAGAAGTCTCCTCTTTGAGGAGATTTGCCCTTTCTATGAAAAGGGCACTAACTTATGTCTGTAAAATTCCTGTCTCATGATAAGACTCTTCATCCCACAGTAGCAGCATAAATAGCAGTGAAAAAGACCACAATTCATAGATCTTAGTGAAAGTCAAAGTCTATCTGTGATTTTGAACTAAAGGCAATTCCTATAATAGTTTAAGCTCCATAGTATTGTGACCTTGGGCCAATACTTTTCTGTAGAACATGAGAAATGTTTTGTTTGATTACAAAGTTGCCAGGTTATTGAAAAATTACAGATGACAGTTCTATTTTTCTCCACCCCTACCCCATAACTAAGCCTTTGAGGATATCCTCAGGATATAAACTGAATAATTATTATTTTTTTAAATCTGGGTTTTACAGATATTGCTCCTCATTGAACTGTTGCTAAACTGGAGGTTTGTACAAATTGCTGATGCTCCAGCCACAAAGCCCTGTGATTTGGGGGCCTCCCAACAGCCAAACTGACTACACAATAGCTACCGCTAAACTCCTTGGATAAACGTCTCTCTTGGCCCCAGTGTGGATGACTCCTACGCTTATCTGCTTTCTGGGGCTGTTATAAGAATTAATTAATGCTTGCGAAGAGCTATAATCACCTTGGATGAAAGGGCAGTAGAAAAATAATGACACTTCAGAGTAACATGGCACCTTTCATCTGAGGATCTCAAAGCACTTCACAAGTTTGAATTAATTAAGCCAAGGTAATTGCAAGGTATAATGACAATAACAATAATGATCATAATTATCCTCCACATTATCCTTAAGAACCTGATTTGAAATCAATTCCTGACACTTGCTCTGCCATAGCGCTGGTCAGCCCCTTGCTCTCTGTGATTTGCAGCAGGAATGCCAGGGGGTCCGTCGTTTCGTGTTTACTTGCCCCCTCCTCACTAGCAGTGTTCATGGCCTCTGCCATCACCATGGAATGAATGTGGATTTTATGGAAAGAGGGACTTAGTATCCTGGCTTAGCACCCATATTAGTGATTTTTCCAAATAGATGAAATAGGCTGCTATGGTTTAAATGTCCCTGACAAAGCTCATGTTAAAAGTTAATTGCCAGGCCAGGCGTGGTGGTTCAAGCCTATAATCCCAGCACTTTGGGAGGCTGAGGTGGGTGGATCACGAGGTCAGGAGTTCAAAACCAGCCTGGCCAATATGGTGAAACCCCATCTCTACTAAAAATACAAAAATTAGCCAGGCGTGGTGGCGTGCACCTGTAGTCCCAGCTGCTTGGGAGGCTGAGGCAAGAGAATCGCTTGAACCCAAGAGGCAGAAGTTGCAGTGAGCCAAGATCACGCCACTGTACTCCAGCCTGGGCAGCAGAGTGAAACCTCATCTCAAAAAAAAAAAAAGTTAACTGCCAATGTAATAGTACTGGGAGGTGGGGCCTTTAAGTGGTGATTAGGTCATGAGGGCCTATTACTATGGGAGTGGCTCCTGATCAAAGGATAAATGTGGTCTGATGTCCTCTCTGTCTTGCCTGCTCACTTGCCTTTCTGCTTTCTACTATAAGATGACCCTATAGCAGCATTTAGTACAGGTGCTCTAAAGAGGTAGAGAGTCCACTGCTCCAGTGGTGGCTAAGAGCCCAAATAATACAGGCAGAGATCTAGTCTCTTACATAAACCTTAGGCATGTCCACAATAAGAGCATGACCAAAGTTCTCATGTTGTGTAAACAACATCAAATTAGTTTGGCATTGGCCAGAGTTTATAACTTGATTCTTTTTGAGAGGAGACCATCTCTAGAATCACTCAGCTTCCTAAGAATGAAGTTGCATAACACTGGTCTTTCCTAGAGCTCCTTGAATGGGGTTTCTCTTGTGAGTTCTGTGGAAGTTGTCCTTTAGAAGTTGGAGGATGTCTTAGTCCATTTTGTACTGCTATAACAGACTAAGACTTGATAATTTATGAAAAACAGATTTATTTTTTACACTTCTGGAGGTTGGAAAGTCCCAGATTGATGAGGTTGCATATGGTGAGGGCCTTTTTGCTGTGCTATCTCATGATGGAAGACAGAGGGTAAGAGAGAGGGAGGGAGAGAGAGAGAGAGAGAAAGGAAGGGAGCTGAACTCATTCTTTTATCAGAAACCCATTCCCACAGTAACTAATCTACTCCAGCAATAATAGCTTTAACCCAATCACCTCTTAAAGGTATCCTACCTCTTAACATTGTTACATTGCAGACTAAGTTTCCAACACATGAATTTTGGAGGACATATTCAAACCATGGCATAGGGTCTTAAATAGGGGATTTTTCAGCGTAGAAAATAACCGCCCCAATCCCCGTTTGATATTTCTTAGAACAAGATTTTGTTGACCGGGCGCAGCGGCTCATGCCTGTAATCCCAGCACTTTGGGAGGCCGAGGCGGGTAGATTACGAGGTCAGGAGCTCAAGACCAGCCTGGCCAATATGGTGAAACCCTGTCTCTGCTAAAAATACAAAAATTAGCCAGGTATGGTGGTGGGCACCTGCAATCCTAGCTACTCGGGAGGCTGAGGCAGAGAATTGCTTGAACCCAGGAGACGGAGGTTGCAGTGAGCCAAGATCACGCTACTGCACTCCACCCTGGGTGACAGAGTGAGACTCCATCTCAAAAAAAAAAAAAAAAAGGATTTTGTTGCATTTGTTGTTTCCTATAATAGATGGGATTTTTGTTTGTTTGTTTGTTTTTTTAGTATATCTTTAATGGTGAAGCTGTACCAAGGTGTTCACCACTGGGGCTAGATTCTCCATGTAGTACTGGGTATTTACATGAACAAACCCCCTCTACTTCTCAGTTTTGTGTTGTCCTCAGGCTTATATTTAAAAATTTTGTTTGTTTATGTTTAAATTAGATAAACATTGTCTTTTGAGTTATCAAGGATACTGCCTGAACAACTGAAGTACCTCTCATTTATCCCAACTCAATGTTATTTGGGGCTGTGGCGTTACCCTGGCTAGTCTATTTCGGTTGGAAAGAAAATCTTAGAAAAATAAATAAATGGAAATGGTTGGGGGACGGTGTCAAGACAATAAGCAAATTGTACACAAGTTTTGGGCAGAATTCAGTGACACAACAAACAAAACCTCAAAAGTAATCTTAGGCAGAACATGTATTTAGATGTTTTATCTTATCTTCTCAGTTTTCTATTATAGAATCTGGTAGTCTGGGTCTTGAAAATGATGACACATTTTTGCTAAAATTATTTACCCTTTTTCTCATCTATTTGAATATCTCGGAGTTAAGGCCACACTATAGCTTTATGTTCCAAATGTCAGATCCTTGTGGCTGGGACCAGGTCTGGGTGGCTAACAGCTTTCTTTTCAGCTAGCTTTTCAGACCAGTTCCTTCCCAGCTTTCTTTTCATCCCAGTTTTAATAGAGCGATGGCACTGAGTACTTGGGCTTTTCAACTTAGCCTTAAGGGCCTCGGGCCTTAGAATTTAAATCTCTAGTGAGCTTCTCACTACAGCTCTAATGAGATAATCCAGAACCACCTGAGGCCACATCCTACCTTATGGACTGCTGATGGGAAGGGCCCATCAGCTGGCCAGGCCAGGGGATGCTGCACTGGCACCTTCCCATGTTTTACAAAGCTGATCGGTGTGACAAAGTTCTAATTAGCATTTAACTGCTTATAGTTGAACTATCTGATAAGCTGACAGTGTGTAAATATGCACAGGCAGCATTTAGGGAAGGATTTAGATTATTTGAAACTGTTGTAAAAATCCACCTTGTACCTTAGAAAGACTTAGAAATGTGAACTCTATTTTGTGTTCCCATGACACTGGCCTTTTCTCTCCCCATGCGTCTAACAATGGAATTTTGTTGGTAAAATAAATGAAAGTGACTCATCTTGAGCTTTCCATTCTACTGATATTTTTTTTTTTTTTTTTTGGAGACAGGATCTTGGCTCACTGCAACCTTGGCCCCACCAGGCTCAAGTGTCCTTCCACCTCAGCCTCCTGAATAGCTGGGACTATAGGCACACCACCGTGCCCCCTCTTTTTTTTTTTTTTTTTTTTTTTTTTTTTTTTTTTTTTAGTAGAGACAGGGTCTCGTCATGTTGCCAGGCTGGTCTCAAACTCCTGAGCTCAAGTCATCCACCTGCTTTGGCTGCCCAAAATATTGGGATTACAGGCATGAGACACTGAGTCCAGCGTACTATGCCTTCTTATGAGGGCCAGGTCCCACATTCACTGCCACCAGGACTGGCCGTGTGGACTCAGCCCAGGGAGTGCATATGGTACCTAGACTGTTCCTCTGCTCTCCAGCCGTATCTGCAATAGGCCTTTGGGCCACTTGAGCACGAATTACCTTTTATTTATTTGTTTTTGAATTTAAACTTCTTATCTAGTGAAGAATAGTATAACCATTCTCTACTCAATTTTAGCTCTTGTAAGGTAGCTCAAATCTTTAGATATATTTACTCTGCAGTAATTTTGAGTCTTTATGTAATGTATTCACAGCTAACTCTTAGTTAGACTGTGGGCTTCTAGAGGTGTCAAAGATGGGAAAAGGAACCTCCTGCCAATTCCTAAATTCTGGAAAGAGAGTCTTTCTGTTTGGGTATTGCTTCTGTTGTAATGGTTTGTCTGTCTGTGCCTTTTTGTCCCTTGATTGGATATTCTAAAGAAAATCCAAAGAATCCCCTGGTTTTTGTGCTGAAGGCAGGGACAAAAAAAGAGGAGAAGAAAAACAGGCAGTGTTTTGAGGGTTCCTTGAGGGAAGATTGGTAGCCGCTGGAAGGTGAGGTCTGTCAGAAATGCTGAGGCCAGCATGATCCTTGGGCAAGAGGGGCCTCATGCGAGGGACCCTTGGAAGCTGCCTGGCAGCTGATGCTGAATTTAGCATTGAGCTGGAACCCACTTAAAGGTGATGAGCACTGTCATCTCTCGCCACCTCGTTGTCTCTCCTCTTTCCTCCCCATCCCCACCACCCAGGTACCAAGGCTAAGAGGGGTTAGAATGTGAAAAGGAAGGGAGAGAATGGACACAGCTCTGGCAAGACTGATCAGAAACTGAAGCTGAGACACTCAGCAGTGGTGCAGGGGGAAGGGAAGCAAAGTTAAAGGGTTGATTTGTCCTTTCCTCACTCTAGGGACATCCGCGGCTCTTGCGGCCTTCTCTGTGGGTTTATGACTTGGGACCTCCCTCCATGCAGGCGAGGAGGACATTGTTCATGTCTTGTAGCTGGAGCGCTTCCTCCATTCCTCACCGCATGCTCATAGGCCAAGTCTACACAGCACAAGGTAGGTGTTAAGGAAATATCTGGACAGAAAAAAACACATTTATAAGCAACAATGACATTGAAAGGAAAAGTAAATGAGAATGTCCTTTCTTCCTTTATCAAACAGAAGTATTTGCCTAGAGAATAGGTTTCAGTTTTCTTTCCAAAGATTTCAGAAAAAGAATCATGACATAGAAATGCTCTGTGAAATTTATGAAAGGAGGTTATAATTCATACAAAACATACTGATTTCAACTCCTTCTAAATTTCTGAAAGAATGGTTGAAAGAATGAGATTTACTCAAGAAGTAAAGTAAACCTAAAATTCTAGCTTAAAATAGGAAAAGAATAGATATGTCAGTAACACTGAAATGAGGAAAACAGTTCCTGATCCTCATTCCTTACAAAGAAAGGAACGTAGGCCAGTTGCGGTGGCTCATGCCTGTAATCCCAGCCCTTTGGGAAGCTGAGGCAGGTAGATCACTTGAGTCCAGGAGTTTGAGACCAGCCTAAGCAACATAGTGAGACCCCGTCTCTACAAAAAATTAAATAAAAAGTATTAGCCATGCGTGGTGGTGTGCACCTGTAGTCCCAGCTACTCAGGAGGCTGAGGTGGAAGAATCGCTTTAGCCCAGGAGGTTGAGGCTGCAGCAAGCCATAATTGCACCACTGTACTCCTGCCTGGGTGATAGAGTGAGACCCTGTCTCTCTTAAAAAAAGGGAGGTGCAAAATGCATCACTATTCCACTCAGCCCTTTCTTTTGAAACTGCTGAAACCATAGACTATATGACTTTTGAATGAATGTACTTATTATAAAGACATTCAATACAAAGAACATTTTAAAAAGAAAGGCATAAAAATATGGGTATGGGAAAATATCTTCCTATGGTATACTCAAGAAAGATCTAGGATCACCTCTTATCATAGACTTCCCCTGAAATTGTGCTCAGGTGCTCTCAGGCCACCGAGAGAGCCATTCTGTCACCCGCCTCAGAGTGACTGAGGTGCAGCACTGTTCTGCGATATATCCAGCTTGCATAAGGATGCCCACTTGCATAAGGAAGCAGACCTTTCCTTTCAATGGGAACCTCTGTTATGATAAACATTTATGCTAGAGAGGTTTCTGCTGCAGGAAATGTAATATTATTTATATTATTTATATTATTTATATTATCCTTAAATAAACAAAGGCAAAATAAATACAAACAATACATCTCACTCTGTGTCTTAGAAAAAGTGAGAATGGGATGGGCACGGTGGCTCACGCCTGTATTTCCAGCACTTTGGGAAGCTGAGGCGGGTGGATCACAAGGTCAGGAGTTCAAAACCAGCCTGGCCAAGATGGTGAAACCTCGTGTGTACTAAAAATACAAAAATTAGCTGGGTGTGGTGGCGGGCGCGTGTAATCCCAGCTACTAGGGAGGCTGAGGCAGAGAATTGCTTGCACCCGGGAGGTGGAGGTTGCAGTGAGCCAAGATTGCGCCACTGCACTCCAGCCTGGACGACAGAGCGAGTCTTCATCTCGAAAAAAAAAAAAAGAAAAGGCGAGAATGACTTGGGATTAGTTTGTAACCATAACTTTCTGTCTGGTCTCATAGAGATAAAGGTCATGAAGGCAATATCCCCTCCCCTTTGTTCAAAAAGTTCCAAAGATTGGTTCCTGTTGTTGGCAAAAACAGAGTGACCTGTGTCTAGAAGTCTCAGGTAAGTTAAATGGTGTCTTCCCATTGAGTCCCACGGCTGGCATTGTACAACTTTGTCTTTTTTCTCTCTGTCCTTTCCTTTATTTATCAGTTGCCAATGTCCTAGATCCTGCCTCCCATGCAAACAGTGTCTACACTGGCGTCTATTTTATTAACCATCACCTTGGATCCATGTTAAAGTTATTCAGAGATTATTAGTGGTTCAGAAAGTGGTTTCTCCTGTTTGAGTTTTTAAAAACTGTATTTGGTTTTGGCCTGACTGTGTTTCAGTTGAGTCTCTGCTGCGTGCCTGGCCTGCTCTGATAAGTGTAGTTTAGTGCAAGGTCTCAGTCCTGCTCTGTCTTTGGGAGCTGCCTGACTTCCCTAAAGTTCAGTCACCTTCAACTACTGTCTAGGAATAATGGTGTTTGTTGACAATCTATGTCAAAGAGCAGTTGTGAAAAATGTGTGAGCCACTTACATAGCACTTTGGGCACCTTGCAAGAGAGGTACCATGCAAATACAAGCGAGCATTCATGTGGAACCAGTCTCTGAGAACTCAGGCCTTCCAGATAATTTTCTCTCTCCATTGAGGGAAGGGGAGCTTGGCAGGTGGGTGAAAGAGATGGTTTCTGGATTGCTTATTTTAGACCACATGTATGTGCTGTTGTGCAAATGGGTGCAGCTCCAGCTGTGGCTTCCTCGGTCTCTCTGCCTTAGTCATGGAAAACCTCAGAGAGGAAGTTTTAGGAAGACTTTCAGAGATGAAGGTGCAAAGGCGTGCAAGGTAGAAGAGTAGTGCTGGGAATATGAGGAGTAACTAAAAAGCAGGGGGAGAGGAGATAGGAACAATGCCTACATGGTATAAAGGAAACTTAGGAGGAGGAATTTCCAGGTCTTTCCAGGAAGCTGATCTGGGAGGAAGGCTCCTTCCGACTTCGTTGCTGTAAACATTAGTATTATCCCTTTGAGTGACTGTGAGAAGGAAAACCTCAATTCAAAAATATAGGCAGGTGTTGTGGCAAGTTTATAATATATTCCAGACAGTTTTTTTTTAACTTGGAGAATGATAGTCCTTGTGGGAAGTGAGTAATCATAAAATAAAAATGCAAACCTGACCCATACAGTCTTGAACATACTTAACCCTTAGAAGGATTCTAATTAATCAGACAAACAAATATCTAAGCAACCTAATGCAGAGGCTGCTTGTAGACTTGTTTGGTAAAAATGACTATAACAAAAATTAAGGATAACAAAAACATACAAAGTGGAATTGGCCTTTCACTTTGCCTTAAGGCTGGTCCTGATGAATAAATGATGAAAGAGAAAGGAGACAAAGATGGATTAACAGAGTATGACAAAGAGCTGAACGTTGTTGTGGACCTGAATGCCGTGGCAGGGAGCACACCGGCCTCTTCACTCTCATGCCAGTTTGGTTAATTCCCAGGCCCAAGTTGTAGGTCTGTCCTGAGAAGGTCCTATTCTGGTCCTGTGCCATCTCTAGACGAGAGAAACTAGGAAAAACTAGAAAATTTTCCATGTAAAGACAAAAATAGCCATCTGGAATCAGAAGAGCTGTGTTTGTATCCCAACTTCACCATTGATTAGCTAGGGTAACTGACACTTTTTTTTTTTTTTGAGATAGAGTCTTGCGCTGTCACCCAGGCTGGAGTGCAGTGGCGTGGTCTCAGCTCACTGC
This sequence comes from Homo sapiens, assembly GCF_000001405.40. Classification (NCBI taxonomy): domain Eukaryota; kingdom Metazoa; phylum Chordata; class Mammalia; order Primates; family Hominidae; genus Homo; species Homo sapiens. The sequence goes on along the minus strand of NC_000006.12, from coordinate 10,100,723 downwards.
AATCTCCACCTCCCAGGTTTGAACAATTCTTCTGCCTCAGCCTCCTGAGTAGCTGGGACTACAGGCACGCACCACCACGCCTGGCTAATTTTTGTATTTTTAGTAGAGATTGGGTTTCACCATATTGGCCAGGCTGGTCTTGAACTCCTGACCTCGTGATCCTCCTGCCACGGCCTCTCAAAGTGCTTGGATTACAGGCATGAGCCACTGTGCGCGGCCGACATTTTTTTTTCTTAATCCAAGTCTCATTTTGCACACCTGCAGAAAGCAGATAATTTTTCACCAGCGTAGTTGTAAGGATCAACAAAAAATATGTTTGAAAGAGGTCTGAAATATATTTTTAAAAAATAAAGGAAACAAAACACAAATTTAAGTTTGATTTAGTGATTGGAAGAGCAGGCCAGTATTACCATTGCTTCATGTTTTTTAAGATAGAAAACTAGATGCTATGTATTCAAGGTTCAAAAACTAGGTATAATCAGGAGTCCTTTGGGAGAGAAATCTTCAAGCAGTACATCTTCAAGTATTGATACTACGATTTCATCAAATTTCTGTACTTTTGACACAATGTTAGGTTTGACTCTGGAAAGGCTCCACTGTGTTTTTTCCCAAATCCTCCCAATCCCCAACCATAGTGAAATTGGGCCAAATCATTCCAGGATGAGACACGCTTCCCTGTTACATTAAAGCAAAAATAAGTTTGCCAAGAAAAAGCAGATTTTCACAGAGGGCGTTGTACACGTTCTGGGAAAAGTCGTCTGGCTGGTTTCACCTCAGCTCAATCTTTTAAGTGCAATTTTTGCTTTCAGCCACACCAACTAATATTACATTAACCATTGCCCTAATGCCAGTTCCTCATTTGGCAAAACACACACGTGTGTGCACATGCGCGCACACACACGGGTCACTGGAAAATTATAAATTGACATAACTTCCTAGATGGCCTGAGGACTTCAAAGAATTAGAGAAGCATCAATCAGATAAATACGTGTGTGTTGCCTAGGTTTTAAAATGTTCCAGTCATGTGTAAATCACTGGCAAGACAGTTTTTTTTTTTTTTTCCAAGAGTATGCAGTAAAGGAAGCTTCAACAGGCTGGAAAATACAATGCATGTCTTTCTGTCATTTTTTGTTTTTATTTTTTGCTGCTTCCTGTCACCCTGGAGGTGGTCACAGTCTGGTCTCCCAGTACATACAAGGCGCTGGGTAAAGGGAGAAGCCGCGAGACAGAAGCCTGCATAATTTCTGCCTGCGAGGGAAGAACACTGGGGCCATTAGCAACGGCAGCAGGTTTTTCTCCCGCATCCCACGCTCTGCGCCTGAATGCCGTGCCCGTGAACACAGACTTCAGCACACCTTGTCATCAGAGGAGCTTCCTGGAAGCCAGCCAGCTGCAAGGCCCGAGGTCAAGCAATCACCATGACTATCAGCCACAAGGAGAACCTTGAGGGACCCAAGGAGGTGACGGCAGGTGGAGAGGCAGTTAGTGAATTCCGCAGAGCCGCTTGCTCGCTGCTGTGGCCTCGTCAGTGGCAGCGGCGGCTGTGACTGCCGGGAAGGTTTTATCTACTGATCAACACAGTGTGCCAGAGGGCTGATGGGATAGCCCGCTTTGGCAGAAGCTTCCAGTGGTAGCCTGCAACTAGACGGCAGAAGGAAAGGGGGAAAAAAAAATCTAACAACAAACCAGCGGGATCAGTTCCTCAGAGCACAAACACCAGTTTCAGGCCGTCCCCACTCCATCCCCGGCTCTTGCAGCCACGGCTGCCTGCTTGCATTAATTACTTCTCATTCCCAGCCGCATTTATTCCAAACTACCTTTAGGGTTCAAAGTGCAGGAACAAAATGACTTGGGTTGAAAGCAATTAACAAACAGGTTATTTTAAATTAACACACACTTTTACCAGCTGGCCCAAAGAGCTTGTACATGTCATGGCAGAGGTAGCAATGCCAGATATCGCATGAAAGGAGAAATGGGTTTTTCTTTTTCTCTTTTTTTTGGGGGGACAAGATCTCTGTCACCAGGCTGGAATGCAGTGTCGTGATCATGGCTCATTGCAGCCGCGAATTCCTGGGTTTAAGCCATCCTCCTGTCTTAGCCTTCAGAATAGCCGAGACTAAAGATTTAATGTCATTTCGCCTGGCTAATTTTTTTAAAATTATTTTTTGTAGAGACAGAGTCTCCCGCTGTTGCCCAGGCTGGTCTCAAACTCTTGTTCTCCAGCAACCCTCCTGCCTCGGCCTCCCAATGTGCTGGGATTGCAGGCATGAGCCACCCTGATCAGCTGTGGGTTTTTCTTCTTAACTTTTTTTCTAGTGACATGCACTAATCGTATTTTGGGATTTAAACATTTTGTTAAGACATATTTACCAGAGAGCTAAACCAAAGGAAATAATACCACTCTAATCATATACAGATTTCTCTCCGGTATTTATTATCTCTCATCTTTATTTATATAAAAAGTATGTTAGAGCTTCTGTAAATGCATTATAAATTTTATGTCCGTTTTTCTGTTTCACTTTGAATTTTTCTACCATTTCTATTTTAGTTGTTGTCATTTTGGGGAGATATTTCTTTTTCCCTTGTGTTATAGATATATATGGCTTTTCCTATCTTGTAAGTGGGTACTTTTTCTATGTTGTACTGTATACAGTGAGAATTTAACAATATTGAATGAAGAAATGAATTGCCTCACAGAATTTAAAATAGGTAACTACAAGAGAAAATGCCAGAAATTTGTACCAAATTTCTATAAGGTAATAATATGCTACCTATTGCTTCATAAAGGATTCTCCATAATAGGTTACTCAACTGTATCTAACATTATTTGATTTACGTGCAACTTTTCAGGAACACTTAACAACATAAAGTAGGAGAATGCCCATTGGGTGATTGTGGGTGGTAATGACACCTGGGGAGTAGTGATGTTTTAGTGTCATTTATAGCCACAGTAAATGCATATTGATTAAAATATATGCACATGTGCAACCTGCTCTTCAATCTATTATTTAGATACACTAAGGGGAGGTGCTGCTCTTTGGGTTTTGTTTAGTGCCTGGAGCACTGTTGGTAGCATTAAAAGTTAAGGACAGCAATGTCTGTTTAGCATGTGATACAAAGTTTTCTTTTTACAAACCATTGAACAGAAATGGCAAGACATGACATGGCAGATAAAATGTGCAGAGAGATTGTAGTATCTTTAGCCTGGTGAAAACAAGTTTAGTATATTTGGTCAGTTTTTTTCATTGAAATTTTATCTCTCAATACTGGTCAGTACTGAGAGAAAAGGCCCACAAGGTCATATGTTAAGGCAAATTAAACAGGCACCTTTGAAGAATCAATTAACCTCGAGGGTCCAAACTACTAGGCTATAAGGAAAGTAAAATATTAAAAAATACCACATAATAAGATATCAAGACTGACCACAACCAAACTGTTAAACTGAGGTATCATGAATTTACTATTAGCCAATTTTATTTTATTTTATTTTACTTTATTTTGTTTTTTGAGATTCAGTCTCGCTCTGTCGCCCAGGCTGGAGTGCAGTGGTGCAATCTTGGCTCACTGCAACCTCCACCTCCTGGGTTCAAGCAATTCTCGTGCCTCAGCCTCCTGAGTAGCTGGGAATACAGGCATCCGCCACCATGCCCCAGTAATTTTTGTATTTTTTTTTAGTAGAGATGAGGTTTAACCATGTTGGCCAGGCTGGTCTCAAACTTCTGCCCTCAAGTGATCCGCCCACCTTGGCCTCCCAAAGTGCTGGGATTACAGGTGTGAGCCACTGCACCCGGCCTATTAACCAATTTTAAATTTTATTTTACCAGCTGGATTTTCAGTGGGGGAAAGTTAGGCCCTTTGGAAAAATGCACTGGCTCTTTTGATACAAACAATGGCATTGTGGTGGCCAACCTTCTAAGAGAAAGGCTTGCGATAACAAAATCGAGGCTCTTGTAGGGCGATATGGCTGATGGACTATTTGACAAAGAGAAAGCCTTTTACCTGTATGAGCCTCTGCTCCTTCCTCTGTAGGTAAACAGCATACTCCTACAATGAGACTCTCTTCATTCCCTTTAGGTTTAATAGTCTATGATTCTAAATAAGCAACTTTATGCAGAGAAATAATTGTGTTCAACAAAAAGATTGCTAGGTTCACCAGAGAAATGGATGGACAGTCCAAAAATTAGTACAGAGAGTCCTGGAGTAAAAGTTAAGAGACCTGGGACGTGTTTCTGCCTTTGTTTCTGACTGCCCTTCATTTTTCAGCTTAAAATGTAAGATATAGCACAACCTTTATCTCATTTGTCTGTGCTATAAAGACAAATACAATTTTCTATATGGAACAAAACAACCCCCCCACCCCCGAACTGTAGGTTCTTTTGGAAAAATACGCTATAGCAATTTTTATATATATATACACACACACACACACATTATGCAAAAATGATACTTAGGGGTGTGTGTGTGTGTGTGTGTATATATAAATGATACCTAGGTGTGTGTATATATGTATACACACACATTATGCAAAAATGATACCTAGGTTTTGGTCCTATAGGGCACCTGATGTTGTAGTTCTTTGCTTTCAAAACATACCAGATCTCCTTTAGTGGTCCTTTGTTTTCCAGAGCATAATGCTTTCAAAACTTTAAACTTAGTAAAAACAATGTCTTAAAATCAGGTCTTGATTTTTTGTAAGTCACATAAATAAATTTCCAGTCAGTAAAACATGATTGTTTTTCCGTCTTTCAGATAACTAGAAAACAAGTATCCTTATTGAAATACAGCCAAAAATAGAATTTGCCATTAGTATAAAAAGCTTTAGTCAGATTCATTTCAATATTTCCGTTTGTGTGGTGATATTATTAAGCAGCCTCTTAATAACTGAAACATACAAACTAGAATTGTTGTAATACTATGGCTTTCAGAAGGGAATTACATGCTTGTATCCTCCATGCGTGAGATCCCAGCCGACCTCGGAGGTAATCCCGTTCCAGTGCTCCTGACAAAGTGGACAAGGGGAACAAAACAGATAGCAGTGAATGAACAATTCAGCGAGGCTAGCACCCAGTATTACTAGCAGGGAAACAGAGGCAGGAAAAGTCACTTTCTCAAACTACAAGTGAGGGCCAGTTCTACCTCTGAATCTTAGTCTTTCTGACACTGGTATCACTGGCTGTTCCTGATGTCATCATGTTGGAATTGGGAGAGAAGAGTGGAAGTGGGAAAAGGCCAGCACGTGCTCTACCCTCCAGTTGATCCCGCTGCAGGCAGAATCTCCCAATGGGCTTCCAGGGTTTACCAGTTTGCATTGCAGATGGTGTGCTTCCCTCTTTTTTCATCAGCTTCCCTGCTCCACCCTCCCACATCCTCTTCCAGCTGCCATGTGACTTTGAGAAATTAAACACATGACTGCATCCTAGGACGTGTTTGGAAATTCCTGCTGTCCATATTTTCAGCCTCTCTCTCTATTCTGATCAAGCAAGAAATACATCCGAATATCAGCAAATCTACTGTAATCTTCCTAACCGCCCCTTCCTCCCTCTGGGCCCACCATGACTATCCATCTCCAGGAAACTAATAGTCATCACAACTGACCACTTTTTAAAAAAATGTTTTATCATCCAGGGCTTGTTCTTTAAACAACAAGCATAACAACAACATACACTCTACCCTGCTCTAAAGAGGCCACAGTGTGGTGAGTTCCAGGTGTTCTCTATCCAGCCAGGTCCTTGAGGGCTTTATCGTCACATTATCATCACAGGTGTCTTTAGGGAACACTTGGCATGTGCCAGGACACTTGCATTTTCTTGAAGACAACCAATTATTTAATATAAATGTACTCTGCATAAGTGAATCAAGACTTGGAAAAGAAAATGTGGAGCCCCTCTGCCATCTTTGAGTAATATTCCTGTAGTCCTCTTTGTGCAATCTTGGTCCTGCCAAGTTGTGATCCCTAGTGTTGGAGGAGGGAGATGGTGGGGGGTTATTGAATCATGGGGGTCAGTCCCTAATGGTTTAGCACCATCCCCCTTGCTCTTCTTGTGATAGAGCTCCCACAAGATCTGGTTGTTTGAAGGTGTGTAGCACCTCCCCTCCCTCTCTTGCTGCCATGTGAAGATGTGCTTGCTTTCCCTTTACCTTCTGCCATAATTGTAGGTTTCCTGAGGCCTCCCCAGAAGCAGAAGCCTGTGCAGCCTGCAGAGCTGTGAGCCAATTAAACCTCTTTTTAAAATAAATTATCCAGTCTCAGGTAGTATTTATAGCAGTGTGAGAACAAACTAATACAGAAAATTGGTACCAGAGAATTGGGGCATTGCTATAAAGATACCTGAAAATGTGGAAGCAGCTTTGGAACTAGGTAATGGGCAGAGGTTGGAACAGAAGGGCTCAGAAAAAGACAGGGGGATTAGGGAAAGTTTAGAACTTCCTAGAGACTTGTTGAATGGTTGTGACCAAAATGCTCATAGTGATATGGATAGTGAAGTCCAGACTGAGGAGGTCTCAGATGGAGATGAGGAACTTATTGGGAACTGGGGTAAAGATCACTCTTGCTATGCTTTAGCAAAGAGACTAGTGGCACTGCTCTCCTGCTCTAGTGATCTGTGGAACTTCAAACTTGAGAGAGACGATTTAGGGTATCTGGCACAGAAGAAATTTCTAAGCAGCAAAGCATTAAGATGTGGCCTGGCTGCTACAAAAACCTACGCTCACCTGCATAAACAGAGAAATGGTCTGAAACTGGAAGTTATATTTAAAAGGGAAGTAGAGCATAAAAGTTTGGAAAATTGACAGCCTGACCCTGTGGCAGAAAAGAAAAACCCATTTTCTGGGGAGGAATTCAAGCCAGCTGCAGAAGTTTGCATAAGAGGAGCCGAATGATAATAGCCAAGACAATTGGGAAAATGACTCCACGGCATTTGAGTGACCTTCGCAGCAGCCCTGCCCATCACAGTCCTGGAAACCTAGGAGGGAAGAATGGTTTCCTGGGCCAGGCCCAGGGCCCTGCTGCTCTGTGCAGCCTTGGGACATGGCACCCTGCATCGCAGCCACTCCAACTCTAGCCATGGCTAAAAGGGACCAAGGTACAGCTCAGGCCATTGCTTCGGAGGATGCGAGCCCCAAGCCTTGGCAGCTTCCATGTGTATTAAGCCTGTAGGTGTGCAGAGGGCAACAGTTGAGGCTTGGGAGCCTCTGTCTAGATTTCAGAGGATGTGTGGAAATGCCTGGATGTCCAGGCAGAAGTCTGCTACAGGGGTGGAGCCCTTATAGAGAACTTCTACTAGGGCAGCGCTAAGGGGAAATGTGGGGTTGGAACCCCACACAGACTCCCCACTGGGGCGCTGCCTAGTGGAGCTTGGAGAGGAAGGCTACCATCCTCCAGACCCCAGAAAGGTAGATTCACTGGCCGCTTGCACCACATGCCTGGGAAAGTTGCAGGCACTCAATGCCAGCTTTTGAGAGCAACCATGGGAGCTGGAGCCATGCAGAACCACCACAGGGGCTGAGCTGCCCAAGACTTTAGGAGCCCATCCCTTGCATCAGTGTTGCCTGGATGTAATCATGGAGTCAAAGGAGACTGTTTTGGAGCTTCAAGATTTAATAATCACCCTGCTGAGTTTCAGCCTTCCGTGGGATGTGTAGCCGCTTTGTTTCAGCCAATTTCTCCCTTTTGGAATGGGAGCATTTACTCAATTCCTGTACCCCCATTGTATCTTAGAAATAACTAATTTGTTTTTTAATTTACAGGCTCATAGGTAGAAGGGACTTGCCTTGTCTCAGATGAGATTTTGGACTTGGACTTTTGAGTTAATGCTGGAATGAGTTAAGATTTGGGGGGACTGTTGGAAAGGCATAATTGTGTTTTGAAATGTGAGAAGGGGCCAGGTGTGGTGGCTCATGCCTGTAATCCCAGCACTTTGGGAGGCCGAGGCGGCAGGATGATGAGGTCAGGAGATTGAGATCATCCTGGCCAACATGGTGAACCCCGTGTCTACCAAAAATACAACAATTAGCTGAGCATGGTGGCGTGCACCTGTAGTCCCAGCTACCCGGGAGGCTGAGGCAGGAGAATCACTTGAACCTGGGAGGCGGAGGTTGCAGCGAGCTGAGATCGCACCACTGCACTCCAGCCTGGTGACAGAGTGAGACTCTGTCTCCCTGCCCCCTACCCCCCCCAAAAAAAAGAAATGTGAGAAGGACATGATATTTTGAAGGGGCCAGGTGGAATAATATAGTCTGGGACTCTGTGTCCCCACCCAAATCTCCTGTCAAGTTGTGATCCCCAGTATTGGAGGAGGGGCCTGGTAGGAGGTTACTGAATCACGGGGGTGGTTCCTCATGGTTTAGCACCATCCTCCTCACTGTGCTGTAATAGAGCCCTCCTGAGCTCTGTTGGTTGAAAGTGTGTTGTACTGGCCAGGCACAGTGGCTCACACCTGTAATCCCAGCACCTTGGGAGGCAGAGGCAGGCAAATCACAAGGTCAGGAGATTGAGACCATCCTGGCTAACATGGTGAAACCCCATCTCTACTAAAAATACAAAAAATTAGCTGGGCATGGTGGTGGGTGCCTGTAGTCCCAGCTACTTGGGAGGCTGAGACAGGAGAATGGATGGCAAGAACCTGGGAGGCAGAGCGTGCAGTGAGCTGAGATCACGCCACTGTACTCCAGCCTGGGCGACAGAGCAAGACTCCATCTCAAAAAAAAAAAAAAAAAAAAAAGACAGTGTGTTTTACCTCACCCACCCCTCCCGCCAGCCAAGTGAAGATGTGCTTGCTTCCTCTTCACCTTCTGCTATGATGGTAAGTTTCCTGAGGCCTCCCCAAAAGCAGAAGCCTATATAGTGTGCAGAAGTGTAAGTCAATTAAACCTTTTTTTAATAAATTACCCAGTCTCAGGTAGTTCTTTATAGCAGTGTGAGAATGGACTAATACACTTGGCCAGGGTGTTTCAAATTATTTACTCACTTATCATCTAGTTGTTATATTTTAGGGGACTCCTATGGGCAAAGAATTGTTAGACCTCTAAGCAGAGGCAATGATGGGATGACTTTATAAAAAGTAGAATTATAAAGCTCTAGCTCTAGTTCACAATTAGTAGTTCTTTTTTTTTTTGCTCTTGTGGCCCAGCTGGAGTGCAATGGCTTGATCTTGGCTCACTGCAACCTCCGCCTCCCGGGTTCAAGCAATTCTCCTGCCTCAGCTTCCCAAGTAGCTGGGATTATAGGCACCCGCCACCACTCCTGGCTAATTTTTGTATTTTTAGTACAGACAGGGTTTCACCATGTTGGCCAGGCTGGTCTCAAACTCCTGACCTTAGTTGATCCACCTGCCTTGGTCTCTCAAAGTGCTGGGATTACAGGCGCGAGCCACCGTGCCCGGCCATCGCAGTTAGTAGTTCTAAACATTCTCCAGTATCAGTAGGTGGTTCTGGGATTAGAAAATACAAGATTGAAAATTACTAATACTTTGTGCTAGAAATGTCAACTATGAAATTAATTTGGCTGGTATTAAAAACATTGATGCTAATTGTAGGCTCAGTAGGCACAATAAGTTATATTAGCACAAGCTATACTATTGTGTAATTATTATTTACTTATAATGTCATTATCCTATCAATTTGCCAGAATTTTGTCTGTTCGGCAATTATTTTTTTCCTATTGTTCATCCCTAATGATATAGAAGCTGAACAGTAAACACAATGATGTGTTTGAGTGGCATAAATAACTGATGAGGTGAAAAAAAAAAACAACCTTCTATCATTTAGAATGGTGGTTTTTGTGTTCTAGACTTTAAAAATGTTACAAACAGCAACTTTGAAAGGCCACAAACAGAATTTTATAATTATAGGGTTTTGAAACTGTGTTTGGAGAATAGTTGCTTTTAGGCCTTGGCTGAAGTACCGCACCATGGGAGTGCCCAGTGACATTGCTAGTTTTGAGCATTCTGAGACTCCAACAGTGTGGCAGATTCTTTTGTTCAGATGTGTATGGACTTGAAGGCGCACATAGACTATTTTTCTAGAAGGGGCTAAAGTTTTCAACCATAAAGTAGAGGGAGTAGTGGTTTCTCTTTAATGATTTTTATATCTATGAAGGGTAAAATTAAAAGGAACCTTAAAGATTGCCAATCTCTAATCTGGCATTTCTGAAATTTGATAACTATTTAATAAGTATCAAATACACTTTTTTTTTTTTTTGAGATGGAATCTCGCTGTGTCACCCAGGCTGGAGTGCAGTGGCACGATCTCAGCTCGCTGCAACCTGTCCCTCCCAGGTTCAACAAATTCTCATGCGTCAGCCTCCCGAGTAGCTGGGATTACAGGCACGTGCCACCATGATGGCTAATTTTTGTATTTTTAATAGAGATGGGGTTTCACCATGTTGGGCAGGCTGGTCTCGAACTCCTGACCTCAAGTGATCCACTTGTCTCAGCCTCCCCAAATGCTGGGATTACAGGCATGAGCCACCACGCACAGCCTCAAATACATTTTGGTAGTAGAGTTCTGAAAGTAAATGGTTTTATTTTCATGGCAATAAATAGATAACAAAATAATTTATAAAACTATTTCTATGATTTCCTACATGCAAAGCTCCATCTACTTACCTACTATCTACCTATTGAATTGGATTTAAAGTCAGCTCTCACTTTTTGATGCAGAATGGATTGTCCATCCACTCTTCCATATGCAGGCTCTGCTGGGGCAGGGTGACATGTGTCTGTAATCCCACCTACTCCAGAGGCTGAGGTGGGAGGATTGCTTGAGCCCAGGAGTTTGAGGCTATAGTGGAGCCATGATCTTGCCACTGCTATGCAGCCTGGGTGACAGAGCAAGACTTTGTCTCTTAAAAAATAAAATAAAATAAAATAAATGAAATAAAAAGCAGTCCCTATTCTTTATTCCTTTGCCTCCACTAAGTCAGTGAGGGTTTCAACTCCAACAGTAGTACTCAAGGTTGGGTTCAGAAAGGTTGCCTGCTGGGGTTTCATTATAAAACTGCCTCTCTGAATAGGGCTGCCATAGATAAATATGGAATACATTCTTTTTGCAAGATGGGGAAAAAAGCATTTATTTGAAAAATGGAGATCTATTTATTATCTATTATTTATACCTACCTCAAAGTTAATAGAATATTTTATTTCTTAAGTCTATCAGATTTATATTTACACATATATTACATATGTATGTAAACTTAAGGCAAAGTTTCATTAAGGAGCTTGGGAATTCCTTTTTAAATTTTAAATGCAGTAAAATTTATTTATTAAAACTTGTTGCTTAAATTGCTTAAACAATACATCACTCTTACCAAACCTGAAAATCAAGTCATCCCTACCTTACTGAGCTAAGTACTAAGAATTGCATTTAAAAAAAATACTGTTTTTTTCTAATGGGACAAAGATCTTCTTTGGTTGAGGGAAAACGAATGATTAGAGATAGAAGGCCTCTTTTATTAGGTTGAGTAAACTCTGTAAGAGTCAAGTTGAAAAATGCCTCATGGTACTGTCACAGTCAAATAGAAATGTATGTTATAAAAGGTCCCCCAAAAGTCTTCTGGTAATGACTGCAAGTTCCCCACTGCATTCTTAGAAACAGGTTCCTGAAACAGTGAACTTCCATGGGATAGAAGCTAAAATGGTCCATAAAATAAAGTGTCTAAATATATAGCTTAAAAATTTGACATACTATTTAAAAAATCTACATTGAGCTTCAGACCGTGGCTTCTGACCCATGAATTTCATGTTTAGAAGCTGAAGGAGAAAGGAGAGTTTTAAGATTTTTATGTTTTAAAGACTGAATTATGGTTTCTTTTTTAAAATCTTAAAATGTCATACAAATTATAAGAAGTACAAGGGCATATTATGATGCCAGTTAATTTATATTTGGCAGTAGTACTATTCTTTGTAATATTAGTACATTTATTAAACTCCCTCTTTAATAAAGAAATTCTTCATATTCTAATTATTCCTTTAAAAGATATATCTGAAAATGGGTATATTTGTTCTTTTTTCTTTCATCTTCTTATTTTGGTGGGTATATTCATTCTTTAAGTTAATAAAGATAGTGAGTGGCAGAAAATTGGACAAACTCTTTACAAAAAATTTTGAAAATTCTAAAACAGACCTAAGCGACATGCCAAACCATGTTTTTTATATTTTTTTCTTGTTGCCCAGGCTGGAGTACAATGGTGCGATCTTGGCTCACTGCAACCTCCGCCTCCCGGCTTCAAGCAGTTCTCCTGTCTCAGCCTCCTAAGTAGCTGGGATTACAGGTGCCTGCCACTGTGCCCGGCTAATTTTTGGTATTTTTAGTAGAGATGGGGTTTCACCATGTTGGCCAGGCTGGTCTCAAACTCCTGACCTCAGGTGATCTGCTCGCCTCGGCCTCCCAAAGTGCTGGGATTACAGGCATAAGCCACTGCGCCTGACCCAAACCATGCTTTTTAATTAAGACCAATAGAGGTGGAAATATCTTGAAATATACTATACACACACTCTTCCTTTTGATGAACTCGTATTTTTTACTGTTACATGTTTTATCTTCTCACCACCCAAGAATGTACATCGTTAACTTACTTCATCAGGCCTCTCCTTATTTAAATTGCCTTTCTTTCCAAAGTTACCTAACTCCATTGTGTGCCTGGTGAAAAATACCACACACCAAACGCCTCCCTTCCTCAGGAAGGGGTGGGTGGGAGGAAGGGCCATGATTTCCTCATGAACCGTCTTCCTAGATCCCCACAGCAGCTTGTTCCTCTGTTACCTCGTTTATAATTATTGCTCATCTTGTACTGAGTTATTTCTGTGTCTGTCTGTCTGGCAGTGTTCTGTTGAAATGAGCTTAAGTAAGTAGGCTTTGGGGTGCGTGTGTGTGTGTGTGTGTGTGTGTGTGTGTGTGTACATATATGGTTGCACCTGTGTTTAGGGGCATCACAGGCTCCTGCCTCTTCTGGAAGAATGGCTTTCAGTGTCCTGGGTCACCTCCTAAAAGTTGACAGCAACTCGTCTCATCTTCACAATGTATTGGCGAATCCTTGGGTCCATTGATCCTGGAGAGCTAGAGAGGCAAGCCCCTGAAATCGAGACTTCTGCTTTCGCTTGGAACAAATTGGCATTGGGATTAGACCATATTCCTCTTCATATACACTGTTCGGCAAGAGCTCCATCCCTTTAGGCATTCTGATCTTACCTGGATTTCTTAAACCTAATTTAGATCAGGGTGTGAGTAGGTAAGAGTGTTTAAAGGAGAGGCCCTTGCGGCTTCCAGAAAGTTTCTATTCCTGGAATGTCAACCTGATGCTTCCTGGTTTCTTGAACGGAGCCTGCTTTTCACTGGGCGGGGGCCGGGGGCAGTGTGTTGGGGTGCAGAGTGCAGGCTCCACTTCTAGGCTCAGCACTGACCAGTGGTGTAACCTTGTTGTCTAACTTCTGTGTCTCAGTTTCCTCATGTGAAATGTGGGTATAATAATGGTATCTGCCTTACAGGGGTGTCTTAAGGATTAAATGATTTAATACGTGTAAAATGTTTAAAACCATGAGTGACATCTTGGAAACCTGTGATTTTAATCTAGTATCATATATTACTATATGGCCCTTTTCTTTACTTTTTTTTTTTTTTTTTTTGAGTCGAGGTTTTGCTCTGTTGCCCAGGCTAGAGTGCAGTGGCATGATCACAGCTCACTGTAACCTTGAACTCTTGGGGTCAAGCAATCCTCCTGCCTCAGTCTTGCAAGGAGCTGGGACTGCAGGTAGGCACCGCCATGCCCTGCTATTTTTTTTTATTTTTTGTAGAGACGAGGTCTCACTATGTTGCCCAGGCTGGTCTTGAACTCCTGAGCTCAAGCAGTCTCCTGCTTTCGCCTCCCAAAGTACTGGGATTACAGACGTGAGCCATTGCACCCAGCCCTATATGGCCTTTTTACTTTCAAAGTCTTTTGAGTTTTCCTTTAAATTCTGAGATTAGTCAAATACTATAAATGACTCAAACCCCTGTGTTTCTCAGAAAAGAGGGTACTAATCAGCCATGAGCTGAGAATGAAGCGTCCCTGGATACCTCTGGGATTGAGGATACTGGAGTCCTCAACCTATTCTAATTTGTGTTCCTATAAAAACACAAACAAATAAGTTTCCACTTCCCTTGTCCCCAAAAGCCATTATTCAGCCTTATTTTGCCTTAGAGAAGTGCCTTCAGAGAAAAACTGAAATGCTTTGGCAACAGCTCATAAACTAAAATCCTTCTTAAATAGTCCAAAGTCAATACTCAAAAAGGTGAGACAAGTGTTATTTATATTCTCATGCATCTTTCTTAGTTGAGTAGTTTGAACAGGAAAAAATATATTTGTGTAGATACATGCATGCATATATGTTTACACACACACACACACACACACACACACACACCTTTAAAAGGGTAAAGTCAATGAGACAATTAGAAGGTGTAAGAAAACAAAATCCCAAGAATAGGTGAACATCACATAGCAACACATGTGAGTAGAGGAAGAAGCTCATTTTGCTACTTTGACAACTTACCAAAACGTTTTATCTTTTATAAATTGAAAAGCGGACTCACTAGGAAAGACTGTGAGTGCCTCTGTTTAACAACCTCACTTTTCAGGTGCTGGGCTACGGGCAGCGAGGCCTGTGAAGGCTCTCAGCTGGCTAGGAGCATCCTGTTAAAGGACTGGAGAACAGGCAAAGTCTGGGTAAGGGCAAGGACAGCTGCCACTCTATGTGGGACCAGAAGACCTGAATCTGTTGTTAGCTGATTTTTTGATCGTGGGCCACTCCAACAGCCTTTCTCTGTGCCTCAGTTTATTCCTTGTAAAATGAAGGCATTGGGTAAATGATCTGAAATGTCCTTTTTACATCTGAGATAGAAATAGGGGAGGAAAGAAAGTTCTACTACATAGACCTTGGCCAAATCCTACAGGGTGAGATAATTGCGTGCATCTTCTCTATGCTGAGAGATTGTTCGGTCAAGTGGGAGAATGACTGAATAAGCCAAGCTATCATTTTTATTTTTACCCTTCAGGGTAGCTGTTGGACGTTTCATATGGGTAAAGGTTTTATCCCAGTGATCCATTTAGTTATGTATTTGCTTCCTTTAGACTTTCTGATTTTTTCTTCATTAGCAATGGATAATAAAGTATTGCTCACATTTCAAATTGTATGTGTCCTTTCATCACACACACACACACACACACACACACACACACACACTATGAAAAGTACCAAAAATGAACCTAGAGATAGAGGGTGACTTTGTTTTTCAGTAAAATTGTTTAAATGCATAATAAAAGGAGACTTCATATAGTATTTTCTGAAATCATCTGCTCTGTTCCTGTAGGAGAATACACAGTCCCCTTACTTCCATTGTTCAGATATTGAAGCTGAAAAGCAAGTTGAAGGATGAAGTTGTCAGTAAATGATAAATAATTAACTCATGGTGACACTCTGCTTCTCGCCTCTTAATGGCTATTATTGTTGCAGGAGGGGCTCATTACTTCCTAGGTGTGGTTTCCCTACCAGGGCCAGATCAGTTTATCAGAGACCAAATAAGCACATGTGATATAATTAGAGATGTGTGATGAGCACAGTACCTACTCTTCCCATTTAAAAGAAAAATACTCACTTTTCCTTGGCAGCCACACCTTCTAATTACTTGCAAATATTTAAGACTCATTATCTTCAAAGTTTGGAGAAAGACAGAAAAAGAGGGGGAAAAAGCCCCGATAGTGGAGACTGCAAGGATCAAAGGTCCTGGCTTACCAGCCGCTGTGCTGTGCTGTCTTCAGGGCAACACTAAAGCCCCACCGCAGAGAGGATGAGTTGACAGCTATTAGGCAATCCAGGTGGCCCAGTGAGCAGGAGGTTGTGTTCAGTCCCATCGCCCAAGACTCGCCCATTCACCAAGCTCCTTTGAAGCACTGTGTTGAGCAAGAGGAGGTGGTGGTGGTGGTGGTGGTGGAGGAGGGATGGATGGAGTTTTCCAGAACTGGAGTGGTTAAACACTGCCACCTCTCTTTCTGTGGCAATCCCTGTGCCAGCTCGCCTTGGTGTAGGCTTGAAACTATTGTCTTTACCTTTGAACCGCCCCATTTCTCCCTGTGAGTCCATTTAGAAGGTCCTCGCTACAGGGTATCACGCCTGCTGAGAAATTTTACTACCATGCCTGGCAAGTCACCCAGGGTTTACATATCTGTTTAAGCACTTTATGTAAATTCTGCAAGCAATATGAGCTACCTACTCCCTCCCTGTTGAGTGCTCAGCCAGTGAGACACAGATCAAGACTCTAAAAAGGGATAGTGTCTGAACACGCATGATGAGAAATCCCTTAAGCATGAGCTCAGTGAATGTCAGTGTGCCATCTCCATATGACATCAGAATTTTGGTTTTAAGATGAGATTGACGTGATGTGCCGAGTCGCCTGTCAAGTCTTTCTCAGATGCACAGTCGAGCTGCTGAGACATTAGTATTTTTTCTTTCTTCTGCTTTTTCTTGTCCCTGCATCTTGAAAGGTTATATTCTTAAGAAGAGGAGCTTTCTACAGTCTTGGGGATATATACATGAATAAGCAAACATTTTTATTCCGTATCCCTGGATGCTACCCTAAGGGTATATATTTACATTCCCTTAACGGAGTTTGGCCTTTGGACGTGGAGACTATGCAAGTTCCTTTGGCCCATTCAACTGTTGAAAATCCTTCTGGAAGTTTCAGGAATGTATTAAGAATACCTCAGATGAAGAAAGAATATACTCTGGTCTGGAGTCAATTCACAGCTGCAGTGTTTCTTTTCTTTTCTTTTTGTTTCTTTGTTCCTCTTCCCTCTCTTCCTCTCTGCCACCCTTCCTTCCTCCCTCCGTCTCTCCCTCTCTTCTTCCCTTCCTTTCAGCACTACCAATATCATGCATCTTTGGCTACTTGTAAACTATTTAAGGAATTATTTTCTCAGTCTTTCAAATAAATTATTTTCATTACTCTTTCCACTTTATATTCTTTAGGGAGAACAATAAAAATGAGAAGACCTCAGACACTTTTGAATTAATTTAGAGAAATATTTCCAAATAGTTTTCTCCACCACAAGAATTTTAGGGTTTGGGGTTGTCCTGGACAAGTGGCCACTTTGCCACTTAATGTTGCAGTCAGCCATATCAAAGGTTTATCAGAAGATGCTTTAATTAACCAAATGGTGCCTCTATTCCTTTGAATTTTTATGTTACTTTAAACGCTTTCAAAGGGACTGGATTTTTAAACTTCTCCTCTCTTAAAGTTTAAAAACATTTTTAGTATCTGTTAAGTGCTCATGTTGTGCTCAGCACTTAACCAGTGCTATAAATGTTGCACTATATGAGAACCATATGATACAGACTCCACACTAGAGGTTTCCACATCTAAAGGAGAGCAAGGTACATGTCGTCTGTGTGTACATACCTATGTTTGAGTATGTGTGTGTATACATATAGTGTAGAGCTATATCTCAAGCACATATATGTACACACTTTTACATGTTTTAAGCCAACGTAATGTACACATGGATACATGAGTGTGTGCACATGCATACACACACACACACACACACACACACACACAGTAGTCTTTCCATAATCCGAAGTCCTAGACTTTAAGAAAAATATATGGTAGAGGAGCTGAAGTCAAAAGTAAAATTTAAAATCCTATGAAGTTCATTAATAGAAAACAAACACCAACACTAAATAAATCCCAAGGCAATGATATTTTGTAACATTGGGTGTGGAGCTGTTTGTTTCATTGGCCATCTTTTGCTTCCTAGAAACTGTTCAGCAACTCTCCTCACTCAATTTTTAATGAGTCGCTGCTTACTGAGTATTTAGCTTTGTTGAAATCAATATGGTGTGCATTTGTCTGTCCTCAGTCAAGTGTTCAGTGCTTTCCTGACTTATGCATTTTCCTCTAAGCACTTTTAGGGTCCACTGAAGTCTTGGGGATATCCAGTAACTTGGCTGCCCATAAAAATCTTATGCCAAAACATGAGTCATTTATGCTTCCACACACTTCTGTCTGTCTTTCTCCTGACTGAGGATAAAAAGAGATGTCCAAGGCCAGGATCTTCCTTCCCTCATGTTCCCTTATTTCCTCCAAGACTTCACTGCAAAAAAAAAGCCCCACCGCAGAGAGGATGAGTTGATAGCTATGAGGCAATCCATTCTGCTTTTGACACTGCTTCCCTTTTTTATTTCCCCAAGTTTCCTGTTTTACTCAACAGGTCTAACAGGAGTGATTCACAGCTTCATATACTAGAATCAAGAAGATACAAAAAGTAAATTTGTTTGCTGGAAATTTATATGGAGGGATTATTGTGTTAATATTTAACAAGTTATATATAAAACTCGGCATATATCACATTTTAGCAGCTACAAAACATTTAAGAAAACAAGAACTAATATTTTGTGTTTATTATTTCATCAGTAAACAAGTGTTTATTGAGGACCAACTATGTGCCAGACACAGTATCAAACACTGAGCATGCAAAGGAGAATGAGAAGAGTGTGGTTCTTGCCCGCATGGAGCTGTGTCAGGCATCATGCTAAATGCTGGGGGTACATCCTCATTTTACTCTTGCAGCAACTTTATGAAAATAAGTCTTCCTGTTTTATAAAGGAGGTGCTATTGTCTGAATGTTTGTGTACCCCCCAAATTAATATTTTGAAACCTAATCCCACTTTGATCTTGGATTTTCCAAGCTCCAGAACTATCAGCAATATATTTCTACTATTTGTAAGTTACTTAGTCTAAAGTATTTTGTTGCGGCAGGCCAAATGAACTAAGACAGAAATTGCTACCAAAAAATAGAATGTGGCTATAACGAATGCTTAAAAACCTGGAAGTGGCTTTGGAACTGAGTTATGGGTAGAGCTTGGAAGAGTTCTGAAGTGCATGCTAGAAAATGCCTACATCACCAAGAATGGATCTTAAAGGATGACTCCATTGAGGGATCAGAAGAAGAGGGTTGTAGACAAAGCTTCAATCTTCTTAGAGATTACCTAAGTGGTCATGATCAGAATGTTGGTAGAAATTCGGACAGTAAAGGCCATCCTGAGGAGGTCTCAGATGGAAATGAGGAACGTATTATGGGAAACTGGTGGAAAGGTGATCTCTGTTACAAAGTGGCAAAGAGCTTGGCTGAACTGTGTTGGTATCCTAGTGTTCAGTGGACGGTAGTGCTCGTGGATGGTGAAATTGAATATTTGGGAGAAGAATCCTCTAAGCACAGTGCTGTGGGTGCTGCACGGCTTCTCTTGACTGCTTATAGGAAATGCGAGGAGACAGAAAAGATTCAAAGACAGAATTTATCATCAAAAGGGAAGCAGAAGTTAAAGATGCAGAAAATTCTCAGCCTGCCGATATTGTAACAAATGAGAAAGCATGTTCGGGAGAGCACACCAAAGGTGTGAGTAAGGAGATTAGTATGTACCAGCCACATGCTATTCATCAAGACAATAGAAGAGTGACTCTTAAGGCATTTTAAAGATCTGTGGGGCTGCCACTCCCATCACAAGTCCAGAGTGCCAGGGCCTCAAGGACAGGACCGTTTCAAAGGAGAGGACCAGGGTGCCTGTGGGATCTCAGGGCTCTCTGCCCAGCGCCACCTTAAAGCTCTGCTCCCTACTTGTCAGCAGTAGTCCTCGGCTGCCCTAGGTTTGGTTCGAGCAAGCCGTGGTACAGTGGTGGCTACTCCTCCAGAGAGCACAGGCAGTAAATCTTGGTGGCATTTGCATGGTGCCATCTTCACATCTTCACTGGTTTGCAGAGTGCATGGGCCATGGGAGTGTGGCTGCCTCCAAAAAGATTTCAAATGATGCCCAGGAGAGTCTTGGGGCTCAGAGAGCTGAAATGGGCTCCTCTCAGTAGCCGCCTTGATATAGTGGCTCCCAGATCCAGAGCTGCTACAGCTATGCTACAGCTATAACAAGGGGATATAGCTGTGTACTGATTGCACAATCATTTTTCAGTTCTGGCACTATAATTCCCCAAAAGAAGCAACCCCTCTTGTAATGTGTTTAATTTTTTTTTTTTTTTTTTTGAGATGAAGTTTCACTCCTGTCGCCCAGGCTGAAGTGCAGTGGTGCGATCTTGGCTCGTTGAAACCTCTGCCTCCTGGGTTCAAGCAATTCTCCTGCCTCAGCCTCCTGAGTAGCTGGGATTACAGGCAGCCACCACCACACTCGGCTAATTTTTTGTATTTTTTTTTTAGTAGAGACAAGGTTTTGCCATATTGGGTAGGCTAGTCTTGACCTCCTGACCTCAGGTGATCTGCCTGCCTCGGCCTCCCAAAGTGCTGGGATTACAGGCAGAAGCCGCCGTGCCTGGCCTAATTTCTATAACTATGTGGTTGTTATAATTTTTTCCCCATAAAAATAGCATTAATAAAACTTCAGAAAGAAAATTTTAAAAAACCTCTAGCTTACAAAATATTCTAGCAAAAGATATATCAAATACATTTTCTTGTGAAGAGGTAAGAATCACTGAGTTTCCTTCTGAAACAAAAATCTGATCTATCTTTTCCTCAGTGCATTTGTATTTTCATTTATCAAAACAATATGCATACATCAAAAGTGTAGTTAGGAAGCCCATTCATAACCAGTATTCAACAGTTATTGTGCATGTAAAGAAGTCTACTATCCCCTGAACTCAAAGCACTCTTCAGAATTTATTGAGCATGGAAGAATAAATTTTTTACTACAGATAAAATGGCAAAACAGGAAACATTAAAGAAATCTTTTTTACACCTCTAATCGCTATTTCTTTCTGGCAGCTATCTCTTTGGAGAAAGATATCTAATGACCTCTCTTTACCAATCAGATTATTATCATAATGGGTTCATGTCCTAAAGACATCACATTAAAGTAGACGCAGTAGCTGAACTCAGATTTTATGGAATATAAATTTAGACATTTTCCTGCCTTACATGGTGAGTTTTAAAATAAAACATCAAGGCATCAAGAAAAAGTGCCACTTTATTCATGCAGACTAAACTTCTTGTTCTTCTTATCATATTTATGTTAACACACATGCTCACACACTTTCTCAATCAGGTAGTATTTGCAGGAGGCAAATACATTTCTTGTTCAAAATGTCTCTAGTTTATTGTAGTTTGTGGGCCCACAAATCGTTCAGCCCAAAGGAGTACAGGAAAAATGGGGAACAAGAACCACAGCTCTGCTTACGGAGGTTCACAGACACCCAGTCAGTACAAAATAATGAGGTGTACTTGCTTGTTTTGCCTAAAATGCAGCAGTGATATGGATTAGGAATGTTTAGTAGCCTTGTGGCCCTGCCAATGAGTAAAATACACATTCAAGGAGAAAATAAACTTCCTCTTGAAATACCTGCACTACTTCTGTTTAAACTGTTACACCATGAACCTGAATTCATCCTATGCCTAACAACATTTTTCAGGTAAATTAGGCTGCCTGATAGCTGATACCTACCAGTCACAAGAGGAAATATGCTCCAAGATGGAGAGAATGACCACTTGCCAAAAGACCACTTCCTGTCTTTATTAGACACCAGTGAGCCATTCTGGTTGGTAACTGCCCCTCACTGTGACGAATAGACTGGTTCGGAGTTCATTTTGCCAAATCAGCTTGGTGGTGCCCTCAGATTTTGCCAGTAGGAAACCAGTGTCTGCTCCTGCAGGAACCAATTTGTTCCTTCATGGAACTAAAACCACTGTTGCTTTCAGTGGATCGTGGGAATTGGAAATAAATACTAGGTTACACTACTAGTGAGAAAATGCACACATGCGCACGCGTGCATAAATATATTAACACATGCATGCACACACAGCAGTTGTTACCTCCTGATGATTTTGGTTTCAGGACTGACCTACACCTCAAACCAAAATGAATGAACAAGCAAAAAAATAGTCTCAGTCTAGGAACTTGGCCAAAAAGGCTTTTAATCCTACATAAGATTTATCGTCAAAATCACTTCCCAACGGAAGTACTTACCCTTCAGTGAAATAACATACCTCAAACTTTTAAAGCTTATTTGTGATCAGGTCCAGTGACATTACCACCATATCTCTAGGTGCAATCAAGTTTGTGTATGGGGTCAGTGTAGTCCACAGAAACACATCAAAAAATGCGGGAAGGTACCCAGAGCTAATGAACCAAGTTTTCTAAAACACTTGTTTCATAGATAACAACAATTCTTTGCAAATAGAAGAAGAGAATCTAATATTCTTGACCCAAATATCTCCCTCAGCTTGGACACCTCATAATTTGAAAACATCCACAGGCAAAGGGGAAAGTTAGTGAAGCCTAAACACACTGAGAATCACAAGGCTAATTCAGGACACTCAGGCACAACCCAAGACATGTCTCAATGACAGAAGTATGTACTTGGTAATGCTCCTTATCTAAATTTGCCTTGTCCATATCCAGAACTCTTTGCATTCTGTAAATAATAAATTATCATAAGCCTTACCTGATTATTCTAAGTTATTCCCCCCTCAGGTAGAAAATTTGAAAGAACATGATTTTGCTGTAGTTTAAAAAGTGCAAAATCAATGTGAGCTGGGTGCTATCTCTGAACTGATCCTATACAGTTAAAAAAAAAATCTGTATTTGTGTAGTTCTTGCTGTGGACTGAATTGTGTGCCATCCCACGCCCACTACTGGCCCAAATTCTTTTCTTTCTTTTTTTTTTTTTTGAGACTGAGTCTCATTCTGTTGCCCAGCCTGGAATGAAGTGGCGTGATCTGGGCTCACTACAACCTCTGCCTCCCGGGTTCAAGTGATTCTCCTGTCTCAGCCTCCCCAGTAGTTGGGATTACAGGTGTGCGAAACCACACCTGGCTAATTTTTAGTGGAGACGGGGTTTTGCCATGTTGGTCAGGCTGGTCTCAAACTCCTGACCTCAGGTGATCCACTCACCTTGGCCTCCCAAAGTGCTGGGATTACAGGCGCGAGCCACTGCGCCCAGCCTACTGCCCCAAATTCTTATATTGAAGTTACAACCCCCAAAGTAACTGTATTTGGAATAAGGAGGTGATTAAAGTTAAATGAGGTTATAAGAGTTGGGCCCTAATCTGATAAAGCTAGAGTCCCTATAAGAAGAGGCCGAGTGTGGTGGCTCATGCTTATAATCCCAGCACTTTGGGAGGCCA
The DNA here is from genome assembly GCF_000001405.40 of Homo sapiens. Lineage (NCBI taxonomy): Eukaryota > Metazoa > Chordata > Mammalia > Primates > Hominidae > Homo > Homo sapiens. Next base: position 10,077,577 of record NC_000006.12, on the reverse strand, counting down.
AGGAGGCAGGACTATGTGGTCAAGAGATTTGAGACCATCCTGGCCACCATGGTGAAACCCTGTCTCTACTAAAAATAAAAAATTAGCTGGATGTGGTGGCGTGCGCCTGTAGTCCCACCTACTCGGGAGGCTGAGGCAGGAGAATCACTTGAACCCAGGAGGCAGAGGTTGCAGTGAGCTGAGATTGCGCCACTGCAGCCTGGGCGACAGAGCAAGACTCTGTCTCAAGAAAAAAAAAAAAAGGAAAAGAAGAAACACCATAGTGGTCTGTGATTTGAAAATATAGTGACACAGTCGCTGTCTACAAGCCAGGAAGAAGACCCTCACCAGGAACTGAATTGGCCAGCACCTTGATCTTGGATTTCCCAGCCTCTGGAACAATAAGAAATACATTTCCATTGTTTAAGCCACCCAGTCTGATTTGTTTTTATAGCAGCCCAAACACACTAAGATGATTCTTTTTTACTTGTTTAATAGGTCTACAGATGGACCATCTAGGCTTCTCTTTTAACAATTCCAAACCTGTCCTCATATTGAAAGTTCAGCTGAGACACACAACTATTAAATAATTGCCGAAGGGCATAGCCCAGGCATCTGGAGGCCCTTTCAGTGCACTCAGGACTCTGGAGATTCTGATGGAACCCTCTGGAGATCGGGGTGGGCAGCTAGCCCTGCCATCCGGCTGTGTCTGATAGCATTCTTGCCCAGTCACCCATGGCCGCTAAGGGGTGTCTTCCATAACCCTCTGCAACCCTGGGATAGAAAAGACATTCAAGAAGCACTGACTTATCCCTTGCAGTATTAGTTTCAGGGCCTTTAAATATATGTATGTAAATATAAATATAAAGTTTTAGAGCCTTTAAATATATGTATGTATATGCATGTATATGTACACACATATATGTGTAAGTATAATGTCTTAGGGCCTTTAAATATATATATTTAAATCTATATGAATTTATATAAATATATTAATATAAATTTATATAAATATATCTATATATAAAATATATTTAAAGGCCCTAAAACTTTATATTTACATATATATGTGTGTGTATATATATGTGTGTGTATATATATTTAAAGACCATATATATATATGTATATATAGAGAGAGTCTTCTTGGATACCATTTTTTTTTTTTTTGAGATGGAGTTTTGCTCTCGTGCAAAGGTGCGATCTTGGCTCACCGCAACCTTTGCCTCCCGGGTTCAAGCGATTCTCCTGCCTCAGCCTCCTGAGTAGCAGGGACTACAGGCGCCTGCCACCACACCCAGCTAATTTTTGTATTTTTCTCCATGTTAGCTGCTGGTCTCGAACTCCTGATCTCAGGTGATCCACCCACCTTGGCCTCCCAAAGTGCTGGGATTACAGGCGTGAGTCACCGTGCTTGGCCACCAATTTTTTTTTTTTAATAAAGATGGGATCTTGCGAAGTTGCCCAGTCTGGTCTTGAACTCCTGGCCTCAAGCAATCCTCACACCTCAGCCTCCCAAAGGGCTGGGATTACAGTTATAGGGGCTTTTTTAAGGGAAAAGGAACTTTGCCCTTTATTTTCTTACTGAGTTCAAGGATAGCTGCTTAACACAACCAAGTCCTTACCCCTAGTTCCATCTCCCACCTTCTTAAACCAAGCACAGACCTGATCTAACCTTTTCTTGATGCCTCAAGATTATCTTCATGTAGATAATTTTTATACAGGTCTATAATTCAATGTTACCACTAGAGAAAGAGGTTTGCCGGGCTGTTTCTACACCGAATGAAACCAGACAGCTTTTTGTTGTTGTGAATTTTGTTTTTTACTCATATAGGCAATAGGTTTGGAAATTTTTAAGCACTTTCTTTGTCTTAATTAGACGGCATTATGATACTGATTATAATAGATAATTGTTGACGTTAATCAAAACAACCAACTTTCCAATTGAATTGATAAACCAATCAGTCCCCCAAGGCACTTTGTAGCATACTATGTAGAGTGAGAATAATTAGATGTATTTGTACAATATGGTGAAAATTAAAAGTAAAAAAAATTATATGATTTGTAACTGTAATTTAAAGTGTTTGGATTTTTTTTTCAATGATAATTATCATCAGCGATTCTCTGAAGAAATTGCTAATAAAATTCACTGGGACTTATAAACTGAGGAGCCTAAGTGGAAAATTAAACAAGTAAATACCTATTGTTTTTGAAAGAACAATATGCACATTTGCTTATTTTCTTAAACTGGATTGTCTTTATTCATCCGAGCATAGAAAGATGCTGTTTGAAAAGGGCTTTAGCCTGTAAGAAATTCACATGCCCCTCAAATGCCCGCATATTAATCGGTTGGATCCTTTTGAGAGGTGACAGCATGCTGGCAGCCCCAGCAGCACTCGCTCGCTCTCTGCGCCTCCTCGGCCTTGGCGCCCACTCTGGCCGCGCTTGAGGAGCCCTTCAGCCCGCCGCTGCACTGTGGGAGCCCCTTTCTGGGCTGGCCAAGGCCGGAGCCGGCTCCCTCAGCTTGCGGGGAGGTGTGGAGGAAGAGGTGCGGGCGGGAACCGGGGCTGCGCGCGGCGCTTGCGGGCCAGCGCGAGTTCCGGGTGGGCGTGGGCTCGGCGGGCCCCGCACTCGGAGCGGCTGGTTAGGCGGCCGGCCGGCAGGCAAGCCCCGGGCAGTCAGGGGCTTAGCACCTGGGCCAGCAGCTGCTGTGCTCGATTTCTCGCCGGGCCTTAACTGCCTCCCCGCGGGGCAGGGCTCGGGACCCGCAGCCCGCCATTCCTGAGCTTCCCCCCGCCACCGTGAGCTCCTGCGCGGCCGGAGCCTCCCCGGCGAGCGCCACCCCCTGCTCCACGGCGCCCGGTCCCATCGACCGCCCAAGGGCTGAGGAGTGCGGGCGCAGGTGCGGGACTGGCAGACAGCTCCACCTGCGGCTCTGGTGCGGGATCCACTGGGTGAAGCCAGCTGGGCTCTTGATCTGGTGGGGACTTGGAGAATCTTTATGTTTAGCTGAGGGATTGTGAATACACTAATCAACACTCTGTATCTAGCTCAAAGTTTGTAAACACACCAATTAGCACCCTGTGTCTAGCTCAGGGTTTGTGAATGCACCAATTGGCACTCTGTATCTAGTTAATCTGGTGGGGACTTGGAGAACCTTTATATCTAGCTAAGGGATTGTGAATGCACCAGTCGGCACTCTGTATCTAGCTCAAAGTTTGTAAATGCACCAATCAGCACTCTGTGTCTAGCTCAGGGTTTGTAAATACACCAGTCCACACTCTGTATCTAGCTAATCTAGTGGGGACGTGGAGAACTTTTGTGTCTAGCTCAGGGATTGTAAACACACCAATCAGCACCCTGTCAAAACGGACCAATCAGCTCTCTGTAAAACAGACCAGTCGGCTCTCTGTAAAATGGACCAATCAGCAGGATGTGGGTGGGGCAGATAAGAGAATAAAAGCAGGCTGCCCGAGTCAGCACCGGTAGCTTGCTTCTTGGAAGCTTTGTTTTTTTGCTCTTTGCAATAAATTTTGCTATTGGCTACTGCTCACTTTTTGGGTCTACACTGCTTTTGAGCTGTGATACTCAGCGTGAAAGTCTGCAGCTTTACTCCTGAAGCTCAGCGAGACTATGAACCCACCTGCAGGAACGAACGACTCCGGACGCGCTGCCTTAAGAGCTGTTAACACTTACCGCAAAGTTTTGCAGCTTCATTCCTGAACCAGCGTAGACCATGAACCCATCAGAAGGAAGAAACTCCGAACAGATCTTGAACATCAGAAGGAACAAACTCAGGAACCGCCAGCTTTAAGAATTGTTAACACTGAGCGCGAGGGTCCGCGGTTTCGTTGTTGACATCAGTGAGACCAAGAACCCACCTTTATACTTAGCCTTTAGTGTCCTGGTGTGGACAAAGAATTCTGAACAAGTCTTGATGTGGAGGGGAATGCTCTGTCACTCTTAGAGAGTTGAGAAGTGTATGTGGGCGGAGTTGTGCCGCTGGAATCAGACTAAGGTTAAAATACCGTTCCCAGTGGACAGAAAAGCCCTTTAATGGAGTGATGCGCAACCACTAATCCCTAGGGGCTTGTTAACCCTGTCTCTGGGCCACTGGAACGACTCCCAGAGTTTCTGCAGGTTTCCGGTCGAGCTGAGAAATTGCATTGCAAAGAATTCCTTAGTGCTGCTGCCGGTGGTCTGAGGACCACCCTTATAAGAATCATCGCTCTGTTGCTGTGAAATAGGACTGTCTGTGTTTTCAGGATCAAGTAAAATCCTGGAATCGTCAGTCCTAGCTAGCATAAGAGGCCAAGATGTCAAAACACCTTCTCCCGGATCATTCAAAATCTGCATAAATACAAGGCCTTAGAATAATCCCATCGAATTTTACAGCTTTCCAAGGCAAGTATCTTCTAACATACATTTGTATCTATATCTGTGTGTGCGTGTGTGTGTATACACTTACGTGTATATTTAATAAGTCAAATGCCTTTCCACTATTTTCTTCCCTTGTAAATTATCTGAGGTAAAAAAAGTGCTGGGGTGACCCTACACTTGATCCTCTTCCTATTGTGGTTGAAGGTATTTTTTGGCCAAGAAAAATAAAGAGTTCATTTTTAAAGTCATGCAGTGGGAGATCTAAGAATGAGATTTAAATTTTTGATGCTGAATCTCGTTTATATGTATTCCAAAATAATCTTTTTTTTTGTTTTGTTTTGAGACAAGGTTTTGCTCTCTTGCTCAGGTTGGAGTGCAGTGGCACGATCTCGGCTCACAGCAACCTCTGCCTCCCGCTCCTGGGCTCAGTCCTCTCACCTCAACCTTCCGAGTAGCTTGGACCATAGGTTTGCACCTCCACACCTTGCCAATTTTTGAATTTTTTGTAGAGACTGTTTCCCCATGTTGCCTAGGCTGCCTTTGAACTCCTGGGCTTAAGCAATCCACCCACCTCGGCCTCCCAAAGTGTACAGGCGTGAGCCACCACACCTGGCCCAGGGTAATCTTTGAAAACAAATTATACTTAGTATAGTCCCTAGAGAGCAAGGGTCTTAAATTGGGGTTTTTGGTTCCTAAGAATTGCATAGGTTTATAAAGCGATATTTTAACTCCCTGAAATCATATATAAAACATCATATATATGAGAACTACACTTTTCCAGAAAAAGGGTCCATTACTTTTAAAAGCTTCCCACAGCTATCAGATAACTTTTTTTTTTAACTTCAGAAAGAAAATGTGTACCTATACATGTAATAGAATCTTTACATGTCAATACTGGATTTCTCTAAAATCACATGAAAATCAAACTATTGATTTAAAATATTCACCTGGACATAATGCTGTGCTGTGTCCCACAATAAGTCAAAGACATGTACTCGCTACCTTGCTTTCCGAAGTCAATTTGGAAAAAACATCACGGCATATACAGGTGACAATATAAACAATGACCCAGTTCAGAAATCATGTAAATATCTAAGACATTTACATTACAGACAATGGCACCACTGTATTTTTCACAATAGGGGAAGAGCCAGGGATGTTGCGTGCTCAGAGTTATGTTGAGTAGAAATCAATGCCTCTCTTCCAGTTTGTCAAGACTGGCTTCACGGAGACTGTGGGACTTTTCTCGTCTCTTCATTCCTCCCACCCTTTTCACAACCAAGTTCTCAGTTTATTTTTGGAGAAAGGACAGAGGGTGGTTATGTTAACAGCATAGATATTTAAGTGTTTACATTTTATTCAGTGACCTGTTTGATTTGAAGAGTTTCAAATGAAAAAATAGGTTGGGAATAGGCTTCCAATGAAGTTGAACAAAGCTCACTTTCATGTGAAAACAGACTGAGAATTGTGTGTTGGAACATTGCTGTTGTCACATTGTCACCTATGGAATGGAGCTCAAAACCAAGGAGTGGGGGAAGTTGCTTATGACTAAAGATTCAAAAGAATGTCATTGTAAGGAAGGTGCCTATAGGGCACTGCCCAGGGAGGCAGCATGGTTCACTGAATGGTGAGTTTTCCAGGCATTTAGAAGTCACGTGAAATCCTGGAAGAATCAGTTCTGTTGGTCAGCAGAAAATGTTTGGCTGCCAATTCTATGTAACTATAATACATTAATCTAGTATGCCTTACAAAGTCTCCACATAAGGTCTGCAAACTTTAAAGCTCTCCAAGACAATTATCTTTTGATTGAAAAACAATTAATATGATTACTCGACTAGGCTTAAAGAAACAATGAATGATTGGAAGTGGTGGGTTCTCTCTTCTTTCTCTTTTTGTAATCTGACAGCACAGTTAGTTTACCATAAGACAGAACTGGAGGCTCATCCTACTCCTCCATTTACGAGCTCTATGAAAGCAAAACCTTATTTATCCAACCTGAGCCTCAACTTTCTTATAGGTAAATGGGGGATAATAGTGGGGTTTTGTTATAAGAACTAAGTAATAGACACAAAGCATCTGGCATATAAGCTCATAAAAATGCTGGTTCCTTCCTCATTCTTGGGGATTTTAAAGATGACACTCAAGTAAAACTCCACCGTAGTTTAATCTGGATCACTCTGTGGTGGTGTCTACGAATGAAATATTCAGGTACTTCAATTCAAATATTGTTTCTAATTTTGGAAAATCATGTACCTGTCAGCATATATGAATGTATTATATAAAGATAGTCTCATTATAAAGGAGTTTTTAAAAAAATTATTCTCTCTACAAACACTGAAAATGTAATACTTTTTTTTTTTTTTTTTTTGAGACGGAGTCCCGCTCTGTCGCCCAGGCTGGAGTGCAGTGGCGGGATCTCGGCTCACTGCAAGCTCCGCCTCCCGGGTTCACGCCATTCTCCCGCCTCAGCCTCCCAAGTAGCTGGGACTACAGGCGCCCGCCACTACGCCCGGCTAATTTTTTGTATTTTTAGTAGAGACGGGGTTTCACCGTTTTAGCCGGGATGGTCTCGATCTCCTGACCTCGTGATCCGCCCGCCTCGGCCTCCCAAAGTGCTGGGATTACAGGCGTGAGCCACCGCGCCCGGCCGAAAATGTAATACATTTAAAAAAATAAACAGGAAATCAGTGTCATTGCCTAGTGTTTTGCAGGCTGAGACATTATTCCTAATTTGAAATCATTGGAGTGGATGTTATTCTCTAGATTGGAGAGTGGCCTCCAGGGGATGTTTGTACACTCTGATGTTTGGGGGAATATGTTATTTACCACCTGTAAGTTGGCTATCTTGTTATTTTTGTTGAGAGTAAAGCTGTGGCCTTTACCTCCATTAGGTAGTGTAGTTTGGTTAATGGATGGCTAACAGGAAAGAGTGTAAGGGAAGCCAATGTTAATGTGAACTCCTGCCGTTTTTATTATAGTGGCACCCGCAATAGTTAAGGTTGAGCAGCCATTTCCATTATGAACTCCTATTTCAGGGGTTTATAACTGAGCTGTAAAAATTTGCTCCAGGCTAAAACTCTCCTGATCGGGTCTTAGCCTGGGAGAATTTTTCCCCCTATAATTTTTTTGAAAAGTAGAAATCAATTTAGCCATTTAAAATAATTTCAAAACATGGAAATTTAAAAAAATCTGTAATTTTTATCACCTTAATTTCGGAGGTTGGAACCGATGATGATTACATTTCCACATCTCTAACAAGAAAAGTGTCAAAATCATACCTTTCACATGTACATGTCAAATGTCTAAAGCAGATTGATGTAGCAATGTATCAAAAGCAGTGATTTCTTAGGCCATAAAATGAATCATTAAGTGTTAAAAATATACCAATATTGTGCTTATTTTAACAATATTTATTTCTTAATTAGATCTGGCCATAGAAATTGGGTAACTCTTCCTAGAACTTAATCACTTTGCATGTTAGCAAAACAATACATTGACATGTTAAATAGATTGAAGTCTATTGAAGACATTAATACCATTTTTATACACATGTTTAGAAGTATTTGAGAGATAGAAGAGGGCTTACCCACCTGGCCATAGAAAGCTTTATATATACCTGATAACAATAGGAGTCCATCTGGTATGATAGGAAAACCATAGGTACTGACATCACAGTATGTGATGTTTTATTATTACTTAGGTATAGTGAGGCCAACAGATTAGGGGATAACTGCCATTGATAAAAATGATTTACAGACCCCAAAAGCAAAGGGGGGCCATGCCATGCCATGGGGTGTAGGGGGCACAGGGACAGCAACAGGGTCAGTCAGGAGGCAGAGGGGGAGGGTGGGACTGTGAACAGAAGCCTTATGGTTTCCATGGGAAAGAATAGACAAAGCAGAGTGAACATGCTTTGGATTGGCTAGTTTGAATAATTTTGGGGGGCTCTGGGGTAGAGGGGCTGTCCCTCCATATTCAGCAAGGCTCAGATGTCAAGAGCTTCAGCATATAGAAAATCAAAAGACATGATTAGCATATAGCATCAAGGCTGAACTCCTGGACCTGACACTTCCTGATGTGCTAAATGAAGACTGGGCAAGAATTAACGAGTCTCCATTTCTACCTCATTGAAGAGGGGATCATAACTATGCCTCTATCCTCCTCTCAGCTGGATTCCAGACTACTCCTCCTGCTAGCTATGTGCCCTTGGGTAAGTTACTAAACTTCTCTGTGCTTTAGTTTTCTCATTGTTTTTGATGGTGAGAATAAAATGGTCTATGTCACAGAGTTGCTGTGAGGATTAAATAAAATATCCCAAGTGAAGCAATCTACCTGGGCTGGCACATAGCAAACACTAAATGAATGGTAGTTACTTCAAAAACGTAATTTTCTCATAAGCCCAACTCTCTATTCCGAAAGTCCATGGACTTGGAGGATGTTGATTTTGAAAAATGGCTCTAAATATAGTAGAGTAGGGAGAAAAAGCATTCTTGTTTCTCTCTGAGTCATCTTTTGGTTATTAATTTAACTTGGTTGTTACCTTTCGGTACAAATGCATTCCAGGAAGGGAGCTCCAGTGAGTTTCAAGGATGCTCAATGCGATGGCAGGATACCATGAGGGGGTTGCTAAGTAAGTCATCTTGCTTGTTCTTCCAAGGCCTCTACTCCCTCCTCTCCTCTATCCATTTCTGTCATTGACTTCAGAAGTCATTGACGGGGATCCAAATTTCTCCTAAACATGGCTAACATGATCACTTTGAACCAACACAATAAACTATTTACCTGTGCTGGCTGGACAAAAGAAGGGTTTTTTAAAAACATTCAATTTTAATTTTATTTTTCAAAACGTTTATTAAACTTTGTTTTAGGAGAAAACACCTGCGTCAATAAATGGTATCAATAGCCAATGGACCAAGTTCACTTGCTACTCTGCTTTCTCCTCAAAACAAACAAACAAACAAACAATTGAACAACCTCTAAAACTTCCAGGAGAAATAAACATAACCTAGCCAAGAACAGAGTTTTATACAATTCTATACACATTCTTTTAAGTCAGTCATTTTGAAACCTGTTACATGCATTTTCCTAATAGGGAATAACAGTTATTATTGCAAAATATGTTTTTGATACAACACAATGTACGTGATAGTAGCTCTGTTCAGTATTTCTCATATTTAGCTGGAGGTATATGGTACAATTGCTTAAAAAGTTGTATATATTGGCTTTTACAGACGTGTGGCTATGTGAAGTTAATGGAATAAATGGGTACCTTTTTCATTTGAGTAAAGGAAACAGAATTCTTCTAATAGCTGTGGCAAAAGCAAAGGCTCCTTTAGTGAAGCATGAATTAGTAAATCATATTAAAGTAACTCTTTCCAAATTGTGATATTATTGTGTCAAAGTGTAGGAAGATTTTTATGGTTCAATTTTATGGTTCAATGTTGCAATCCATAATTGTACCAGGTTGCACTGTCATGAACAGTGCATAAATACACAATTTTTGTTTTGGTCTCAACCGGCAATGCATTCTAAAAGTAAATAAAATTTTGCTAATTTAATTGGTATGATAGTTTGGTGTTGAGTTAATTTGTATTTCTTAAACTCTTAGTGAGATTAGGTATTCTTTGTGTTTCCTTATTGGTTAATTTTTACTTCAAGTATTTAACCTTTGGCTATTAGCTGTTGCAATCTTAATATTTCTCTTACAAATTTGTATGTGCTCCTTAGGTGTTAACTAATTATATACAACAACATTTTATTTCCCATCTAGTTTTTATTTCAGTTATTCATAACATTATGTTGTGTAAAAGTTTGTTTGCTTCCAGGAGTATAGGTGGTGAGATATTTAACTTTTTTGTTGTCAATTTATAACTCCATAGCATTGTGATTAGAGATTGTGATCTGTACGCTTCCAGTTTTTCAAAGATTGTTGAAGTTATTTTGTGGCCTTTTACATGGTCAAGTTTTTAAGTGTTCCATGTATACTTGAAAAGAACATGTATTTTTCAATTGTTAGTGCATTGTTCTCTATATGCCAGTTGGATCAAACTGATTTTTGTATTGTTCAATCTATATCCTTAAAAATTTTTGCTGTTTGATATGCTACTAGGAGAAGCATGTTAAAACCCCCTACTCTAATGATATATTTGTAAGTTTCTTTTTATGATTCCATCAGTTTTTGTTTTGTACATATTGAAGCTATCTTATTTGATGCATATATATTTGGAATTATTTTGCTTTTGGATGAAATGCTTTTTTAAAGAATTATATAGAAATCCTTTTTATAATCAGTAGATTTTAATGAAATCTACTTTATCTGTTATTTGTATAAGAATACCAGATGTCTTTTGGTTAGTGTTTTTTTAATATATTTACCCCCATCACTTTGCTTTTAAACTTTCTATATCTTTACAATTTACAATGTCTCTCAGAAACTGCCTAAATTGTAAAAATCCAGGATTTTAATTATCTCTCTTTAAATCATTATGTTTAGGCTTTTATGTTTATTATAATTATGATTTATATGAATCTTTCACATGAAAGTACTCTAATTTATGTATTTGTTCTCCAGTAGCTTCACATTTAGATTATCCAAAATTTCTGATATATTGCTATAAAGAAGTCATCTATAATATTTTAAGATAATAAACTATGGTGTCAGAAGCCCATTGCACACCATTTGCTATGTGATTTTGGATAAATTATTTAAATTGCCCCACCCTCAGAATCCTTACCTGACAAATGGGCATAATTTTCTTATTTACCTCTCTTGAGTCTCCTATGAGTATCATTGGAAATATTTAATGTAAAACAATGATCTTAACAATTTAACATGAATTTGAGAATCATCTTGTCATATTCTCTTCACCTAAACAAAAACAATGGCAACTTTATTGGCATTTGAATTCAATTTCATTAAAACCTTAAGATGATTAGGAATAATTGACATTTTAGTTAATTCAGTATTTCTTTAAAAATGTGGTATCACTTTCCATTATTTAGATAGACTTCATCCTCCCCATGTCCATTGAGATCATCTTTCTCAAACTCAAATAAAATCCTGTTGCTTCTTCATTCAAACTCTTTTTTTTTTTTGGCAGAGTCTTGCTCTGTCATGCAGGCTGGAATCCAGTGGTGCAATCACAGCTCACTGCAGCCTCAACCTCCCCAGCTCAAGCAGTCCTCCCACCTCAGCCTCCCAGTAGCTGGGACCACAGGCACAGCACTACACTTGACTAATTTTTTTTATTATTTGTAGAGATGAGGGCTCACTTTGTCGCCCAGGCTGGTCTTGAACTCCTGGAGTCAAGCCATCCTCCTGCCTCTGCCTTCTAAAATGCTGGGATTACAGGGTGTGATCTACCACACCTGGCCTTCTTTGTTCGAACTCTTTAATGGCCTTCTGTGGTCTACTAAGTGGTGTATGTCCTTGTATTTGACTTGCAAGTTTACTTTTCTGACACAATGCTGTTCAGATTCATCCTGAATTCTAATCATCCCTAATTACCTACAGCTCCATGAACACATGGAGGTCTTGCAGGCTTCACTGTCTGTTTACTTCTGCCTTCTCTCTAGAGTGCCTACCTTCAAATTATATATCTGCCAAATTCATGTTCGATTTTCAAATTTATACTCAAAATTTACATCACAACAAAGCCACTCTATTTGTTTCTCACTCCAATTACTCTGCTTCTATAGTGTAACTACTTCTTTTGTTTCCATGTCTTTTTCTCTCCCAATAGATTTTGGCCCTTGATAGCAGGAATTGTTTATTTTTAAATCTCTGGATCGCCTGAATATAGAATAGAATCTAAAGGTGGAGAGTGCTCAAAAATTGATTAAATTGGTAATCGTATGGCAACTATTCTGAAGGAATGGCAAACTTTTTTGTTTCTAAACAGAAGAAAATTTCTCAAATAGTAATTTTATAACCTAATCACTTCAGAACAATATATATATTGAAATAAAGAAATACCATTCCAGGCATTGTTTAAGACATTAGAATCTACTGTCTTTGCATCCAAATATATGCCATCTTGGCTGGGCACAGTGGCTCACACCTGTAATCCCAGCACTTTGGGTGGCTGAGGTGGGCAGATCACTTGAGCTCAGGAGTTTGAGACCAGCCTGGGCAACATGGTGAAACCCCATCTCTACAAAAAAATACAAAAATTAGCCAGGCGTGGTGAGATGTGTCTGTAATCCCAGCAACTCTGGAGGCTGAGGTGGGAGGATTGCTTAAGCCCGGGAGGCAGAGGTTGCAGTGAGCTGAGATTGCGCCACTGCATTCCGGCCTGGGTGACAGAGTGAGGCCCTGCTGCAAAAACAAAAACAAAAAACCCATCCCCAAAACAAAAAAACAAAACAAATATATGTTATCCTTTCAAGAGTTTATACTTCCAATATAAACTTTATGTCAAAAAGGAAATCCTGTGAAAGTCCTATGGGAAACTTTTTAAGTTGAATAAGAAATATGTCTTATAATTCATTGCAGTACTTACTGTTTTTTATAATCTCATGATAATAAATGTATTAAGGACATAGTCTGTGTTCTAGGTTTTCCCACATGAAAAACTAAAACCAGTAGCCAGTTTCTTGGGTATAATTTCACTGTGTGCTCAGTTAAATAGATGTGTGTTGATGGCATTCTCTTTCATGTCACAACACATAAAATTAAATGTTTCAATTGCTTTGTTTTGCAAGCATTTACAGAAGGTAATTCTACCTGTACTTGTTAGTTTGTTCCCAGTGAAAAAAAATTATATATATATAATACATATATAGTAAATGCTGCTTTAAGTTTATTCTTTTGTATCTGAAAAATAATTACTTCACTATTTGGAATGACTTATAAAATAAAGCATCTGCAATATTTTTCTTCTGACTTGCATAAAAAGAAAAATGAATGTATTATTGTTCATATATTTTATTTGGGGTTTCAAAATTTTGATGTTTAGAGCAGTAGTTCTCAATTTCTTCGAACGCAGCACATGTGAAAGATGACATTAACGTATCTGACACCCTGTGGTTGGTGATGCAGATAAGCTTTGTTATTTCCCCCTGCAAATCCCTGCACGTTGACTGCAATTCCACAGATTTCTCTTCCTCTCCAGAAAGTGTATTTGAATGCAATCAATGAGACTGACCTTAATTAAAAGAATAATTTGCATATAAGCTAATTTCATAAAGAATTAACTCACTTGCACATTTTGTTTTTTGTTATTAATAGTGAATTATGGATGCCCAAATTATGGTGTTTGGTGACAACGGGTTTGAGGAAAAAAAATCAAAGGCAAAAATCTACCAGATATTTTAACAAATTGTAGAAATAGTTGAGAAGCTTAGAAGGGATTTTAAATTCTATAAAGTTTTGGATAAGTTGTGATGATAAGAAAAGAGAAGTTGTAAATTTCATGGGATGTAGGAATTCACCCTTTATTATGAGGTTACTTCATGTATTACGTGAGTCTACTCTAAAATTACCATTCCATTAGATGAAGGAAAGAGAAATAATCCAGAAATAATGGATTAATGCCTTTTAGGGCTTAATTTTTTAAAAGTCTTGATTAAATTGTGTTATAAAAGAAAATACTTTGCATTCATGGTTAATGAAAGAACAGACTCTACGTGTTCTTGTTTTAGTGTGATTACAAGTGTTCTTTCTGGAATGTCCCTTAGTCTCCATATAGGAAAATCCTATATTTCCTTTAGAACATCCTCACAACTCAAATAATTTTAGCCTTGGTGTACCCTGGGGGCTCTAAACTATATTAGCCAGTTGTCTACTCTTATGTCTACTTGGTTTTCTCAAAGGCAGCTCAAAATCAACAGGACCTATCTTTTCCCCCTCAAACTGGATCTTTGGCTGAGAACTGAATGGATGGCCCATAGGGACAGTGGACAGAGTTTCATTCCTGACTTGCTTCCTGGTAATTATCTTGGGCCATTTTTTCATCACCTCTTCCCTAGATCAAGGCATTAGCTTTCTATCCAGTCTCCATAGGTAGCTTGATTTCCATTTCAATTTTTAATGTCTTCTCCATATCCCAGCTAGAGTGACTGAGTTGAAGTATAAATACGATCATGCATGATCCTTCCTCCAGAGCCTGTGTTGTCAGAGTGTACACACAAGCACACACACACATACACACATTCACCCACACAAAACCTTTCAATGACTCCCCAGTTCTAAGATAATGACTAGAATCCTGAATACAATATGCAAGGTCCTGTGTGCCCTGCCTACTGGCCCCAAATTCATTTTGTGTTAGCTGTGTGTACTCCAGCCACACGAACTTTCTCTTGGACACTCTATGCTCCTGTTGGACTTGGTTTCCACAGATACTTTGTCCACACCCATGGGATTCCCCCTGCTTCTCCTCCCAGACTCTCCCTTGGTTAACTATTTATGGTTAACTCCTACTCACCCTTTAAAGCTCAACTTCCAGATCACTTTTTTAGTTGTCTTCTCTGACCCTCTAAATTAGTTTATCCTATACCGAATTCTCATACACAAATCTTAGTTTACTGTGTACAGTTAACATTTACACTATTTTTTTGGTGAAAATTTGATTAAGATCTGCTTTCTACAGTAGATCAGTGTTGTGATGGTGAGGACCTTGCATTTGCACTCACCATTTTATCCTCTCCACATTACATGGCTTAATATCATTCAACCATACTCAAATGTAGGTCTTCTGATTCCAAGAACTACTTTTTAAAATTCCATTTTTTAACTGAGATATATTTACTTTTAGAATGCTATAGGCAATGAACAACCCCAGAGGATTTTTAATTTGGTATCCACAGTGCTTACTTTTATTGGAGATAAACACATTAAAACTATCCTGGATGTTGGCTGAATTACAACCCAGCAGTATGGGGTTATAAGTGCAATATGTAGTGATGACATATTTTCTCCACTTTTCAGGTAGGAAAAAGTAAAACTCAACTCACCCCAGTGAACAACTATAAATAATAATGGTGGCATTCTTCTTTTGTCTCTTTCTTTGCAACTGCTAATGTGCTTTGACAGTTATCTCTATTCTTTTATGAACTTTCTGCCAGCTGTAATAAGTGATGGGGAAATCAGGCAGCAAAATTTTTACGTGCCAATTCTCACCCAACCTTTCCAAAGAAAACAAAAAACAAGAGCGTTTGAGTGTAGAAAACATTTTTGAATGGGATTTTTTTAACTTACAATATATAATTTCAGCTTTAAATATACTATCGTAGGCTTTGAATGTAAGGTTAGTTTTTACATCAGAATAAGTTGATGATGGACTATTTTACAAAAGGAATAGTGCAACTTTTTGAGAAAGATACTATGATACAATGTTAAATGACTATTTACTTTTGTACACATATAAAACATAAATAGAAAATCTTATGTGGTGGAAATATATGTGGTTGCCTTTGCTGCTCAAGAATTTAACCACTTTTACAGAAGTTGTTAAAAAAAATATGGGTGATTTTTCCAGTCCAGACTCTAATAGGAAACTGAGTGGTAAAGTAATACTTTAGTGAATGTTGCTAGCTCAAGCTCAGATTTATTTGCTCCAATGTAAGGTATTAAAACTTGGGCAACTAGTGAGTTATTTCAAAATTGATGATGAGAGTGGAAGTTTCCTTGAAGAAAAAAAGCCTTAAGAGAGGTCAAGACCTCACTGTGACCTCAAATGTAACTATTACCCTACTGGTTAGTTGAAATTGGAGATCAAAGTTCTAATGTGCTAAATGTATTTGGCTGTGAATTGTTTCATGGAAAGGGTAAAAAGAAGTATTTGATAGTATGACTTTTTTTTTAGGAAAATATGTATACTCTTTAAAAAAAATTGTAAACAGCATAATAAAGTAATATTTTATAAAAATGGACTTTCTGATCTCTTACATTCTTTTTATAAGTTAAATGATCTGCACAGATTCTATTAAAATAGATTTTTAAGGTGTACAGTGCTTAGTTCATGTTTATCTGAATTTTAACACATTTTGGGTTTTTACATATATTTTTAAGAACTTCAGGTTTGGGGGAAGAAAAGAAAAGTCCTTTTAACAAGTAACTTTTTCCTTTTATCTTTCGTGCTTTTTTTTTCCCTTTCTTTCCAAAAATGGGCAGTTTTATTGCAAAACATAGTTTTTAAACTGTAATCCTGGGATTACCTAAATCAGAATCATCACACAGGCGCTTGTTAGAAATCCAGGCTCCTGAACCTCACCAGAGACTTGTTGGATCAGTATCTCTGGGGAGGAGCTTGGAATCTGAATATTTAACCAGCTCCCCAGGTGATTCTTACAATATCCTTAAATTTAGGAATCACTCTTTTAGAAGGTATTACAAATATAGGATGAAAGTTACCAGAATTTGGGTGGCAAGCCCTATTCCTACGAAATCCCTCATCTCTTAAGATGAGTGCTAACATCTTTGCAATGAAAGATCTGTCATTCTTTTTTCCCAGATCATCTTCGTCTCACCCAGAATCCCATTTGGTCTGTGTCCTCTTCCCTACTCTGTTTATCGTGGCCTTGGCTGTAGCAGGGGGAAGAGACAAGTCTGGAAAGAACCCTGCCCTTGGGTACGTTCTCATTCTTATTTTTCTCTTGTCATTTATTTCTCCTTGTTTTGCTTCATCTTCTTCGATTCTATTTTTGCTCTTGGGTGTCTGGAATTTAGGAGCGTGGAGTTTGGAGTAAGTAACAGACATTCCTTCATGAGTAACTACAAAGAATATAGCAAGGACTGAATAGTCAGGCAAGGATGCCAACAGGAAAACACATTTTTAAAAGCCAATACTGCCTAGTTGCAGGGTGCAGGTAGAGTTTTAATAATAAACCAAAAGGCAGAAACTAACAAAAAAGGTTTCTGAAGGAGAAAGAGTGATTTTTTTTTTCCCCTGGGCACCACTCAACTCAGGCATTTTTTTTTTCTTGTTGAAAGCAAGGAAGGTTTATAAAATCTCTCTTAGTGCAAGCAACGCAGAAGACATTATATCACAGGGCACTTGCAGAGCACATTTGCAAGCAATTGCATTAATTATGCAGCTAGGAATTAAGATTAGAGCTAGCAGAATTTCAATGAGATACCTAAGTCTGTGTAGTTTAAAAATGAAATTTCCAACAATTGCAACCTATGAGAATTATCTGATGATAGTACATTCGTTCTTATTCAAGGAAGATTTCAGATATGCATAAGGATATTTTGGGAAATAGAAGTCAATCAGAGGA